>NC_000020.11:4460274-4611789 GCF_000001405.40 Homo sapiens
GTCATGTGACAGCTTTGTATTATTAATTTAACACAATTTATCAAAGCTTTATTTTATAACTGTGAACTTTTGCATTATTTTTAGACAATCTTTCCTACTCTAATGTAAAATAACCTATCTTTTCTTCTTAATTATTTTATTTTATTTTTTACATTTATATTATTTTGGAACGTGTAGTAGAGATATGGATCCAGCTTTATCTTTCATCACATGGTTCCTCAATTGTTCCAATACACTTTTGGAAAAAAAAATCTTTATATATTTGAGATGCCACCTTTATCATATACTAAATTCCCATGTGTATCTGGATTCATTTCAAGGCTTATATTTCTATTCCATGTATCCATCTTTCTATCCATGAACCAGTAGCACATCATTGTAGTTAATTGAAGTTTGACCATACTTTTAATTCCTGGTAGAGCCAGACCTTTTCAGAATCTTCTTGGCTCCTTTTGCTTATTTTTCCAAATCAACTTTAGAACTAGTTTGTCTAGTTCTAGGGAAAAAATACCCGGTAAGCTGTTAGTATTTTTAAAAGAATCATATTAATTAAATATTAAATTAATTCTAAAATAATTAAATTAATAAAATTAAATTAATATAAATTTAATATGATTCCAATAAACTAATGAGGGGAAATGACTCATTAGATGTTGAATATTCCTATGCAAGGACATAGTATATCATTCCAAAAAGGTGACAATTATCAAAAAGACATAATACTTTGAATTTCTATGTACCTAAGTACCAAATGATACAGTTTGATAAAGCAAAAGTACAGGAGCTACAAAGAGAAAGAAACAGGAACACACTAACAATAGGGGATTTTAATTTAACATTCTTGGTCCAAGAAAGATCAAGTGGACAAAAATTAACTAAGGAAAATAAGCAACGAGGTAGATATAGGTGGAACTCTGCATCCTAATAACAATAAGTGCATCTTCTTGACAAAAGCACATGATCATTGATGATAACTGACCCCATATTAGCCACCAGAAAAGCTCAATGAATTTGAAGAAGCAAGTATAATACAGGCAATGATCTCCAATCACATCATCACATTGCAATGAAACTAGAAATTAATAACATCAGAAAAAAACTGGGAATTAAAATAAAACCCTTATTTTTGCTATTTAAATTGCAGTCTGTAAACAGCAGCATCTGTTTCTCTTGTGAGCTTGTTAGTAATGCAGAATCCTGGGTGCCCCAGGTCTTAGTTGGCGTCTACATTTTATAAGATACCCAGATAATTTGCAAGTACATTTATGTTTACTCATTGTTTCCAGAAAACAATGAGAAATAAAATACACATCAGAACTGTGAGACATAAGCAGAGCAGAGCTCAGAAAAATTTTAGTCTTAAATACTTATATCAACAAAATTAAAACTAAGTAAATCAATGCATTAAGTATCTAACTTTATTTTATTTTATTTTATTTTATTTTATTTATTTATTTATTTTGGGACGGAGTTTCGCTCTTGTTGCCCAGGCTGGAGTGCAATGGCGCGATCTTGGCTCACCGCAACCTCTGCCTCCCAGGTTCAAGCGATTCTCCTGCCTCAGCCTCCCTAGTAGCTGGGATTACAGGTGTGGGCCACCACACCTGGCTTATTTTGTATTTTTAGTAGAGACAGGGTTTCTCCATGTTGGTCAGGCTGGTCGCAAACTCCCGACTCAGATGATCCGCCCGCCTTGGCCTGCCAAAGTGCTAGGATTACAGGCATGAGCCACCGTGCCCGGCCAAGTATCTAACTTTAAAAAATAGGGAGAAAACACAAAATAAACTAAAAGAAGAAGGAAGAATTTTATAGTGATGGAAGCAAAAATCAATGCATTAGAAGAATTGTAGAATTAACAAATTAGGATCTATTTCTCTTAAAAAATGAATGAAATAGATTGACAAGCAGTAAATTTAATCAAGCAAAAGGGAGGAAGCACAAACAATAAGAAAAGGCAAAAGAAAATAACCTCAACAACTTAATAATTTTAAAAAATAAGGCTATTTGTACAATTCTATACAAGTAGGTTTTCAATATGCAAATGTGAATGAAATTCTAAAACTTGGATGTAATAAATAATTTTCTTGGAAGATATAATTTACTAAAATTAATTCCAGAAGAAACACAATGATTACATGAAACAAAACTATATGGACAAGTTTTCATTAGAGAAATAAAGTATTTAAAGAATAAGCCTCCATCAACTCATAGAACATATATATCAGCCCAGATAGTTTCACATAAGAATTATTACTAAGCTTCCATAGGATAGGTTATTACAATGCTATTTGAACTTTTCCAGGACATATAAAAAGTTGCAAAATTTTTTATATAAGGTGGATAACGTTGACACCAACATGTAACAAAAATTGTACAAAAAAACCTACATGTTAATCTCACTTGCAAATATACATATTACAGTTGTAAATATAACAACAGCAATTAGATTCAAACAGCTCATTAAAAGACTAGTAGCAGGACCACAAAGTTTCCATTTCAGAAATGCCAGGATAGATTAGTATTAGGAAAGGTATTCATTACAAGTCAGCATATGATATGGTTTCACTTTGTGTCCCCACCCAAATCTCATCTCCATTTGTAATCCCCAGGTATTGAGGGAGGGACCTGGTGGGAGGTGATTGAATCATGGCAACAGTTTCCCCCATGCTGTTCTCTTGATAGTGAGGAAGTTCTCATGAGAGCTGATGTTTTGAAAGTGTTTGGAAGTTCCCCCTTGCCCTAGTCTCTCCTGCTGCCGTGTAAGACTTGTCTTGCTTCCCCTTCTGCCATGATTGCAAGTTTCCTGAGGCCTCCCCAGCCATGTGGAACTGTGACTCAATTAAGCCTCTTTCCTTTATAAATTACCCAGTCTTGGGTATTTTTTATAGCAGTGTGAAAACAGACTAATACAACATATTAATAGATTTTAGGAGAAAATTTTTAACATATTGATGCTGAAAAGGCATTTGACCCATTCTTAAAACACTTTTTAAAAAGAAATTTGTAAACAGTAGAATTAGGAACACAGTAAGGATGCTCATTATTACCTTTTCCATTTAATATTGTGCTGGAAGTATTTGCCACTTTTATTGGACAAAAGCATGATACTTCATTTATAAACACTGGGAAAAAGAAGGTTAAATTCTCCCTATTTGTGGATAATATGGCCTGGAAAATCTAAAAGAATCGACTGAAAATCTTTACAAACAAAAAGAGACTGCAGCAAATAAATGGGCTATAAAAATTAATACGTAGGAATCTATAGCTTTCATATATAACAACAGCAATGAGTTGGAAAATGTAGTGGCATAGATGCTTTTGTTTTTATTAGCAACAGAAAATATAAATATCTAAATATAAACTTCACAAGAATCATGTAAACTTACATGAGGAAAAGTTTAAAACACTCCTGAAACACACCAAGAGCGGACATGGAGTCTTCATTCTAACAATCTGTGTATTGGTTTGAATAATTCAATACCCAATGTCTTTAATTATCTAACCATGGTTAAGGCACTCCCTTGCCAAAGATTTTAGGGATGGATGTGTGACCCGTTGCTGGCCATTGAGATGTGAGGCAATATCTGCTGGCATAGGGCAAAAGTCTCTCACCCTTAAATGGAACCCCAAGGAAGATGCAGACTCTTCCTTTCTGCAGATCTTATCATGTCTGGATATGATGCCTGAAACTGCCACAGTTACTTTGCAACCATGCCCAGGGCCAGCACGGTCAGGATGCTAAGTGGAGACCTGGTAGGAACTGGGCTTCTTGGTGACATCCTCGAGGCATTGATTATGTGCTGCTTGGAGCCACCAACCTGTGGACTTCCTGATAACATAAGGTAATATATTTCCTTAATGTTTCAATTAATTTCAAGCAGATTTTTCTGTTTCTTGCTGCCAAAGCATTCTAGCTGGCCCAATCTGTCTATTCCATCCCCAGAACCAGTTTTAATTGCCATTGCTTTATAATGTTTCAGCCTACAATCACCTTCTTTGGGGTGAGAGAATAATTCTTTAACTTTCTTAATTTCTTCCTTAAGTGATTTAACCATGTGATTCCAATTGAGTCAATTCTAGTCATCTAAATTTCTTAATACAATTTCCATCTTAAATGATTTTCAAAATAAAAGCACTTAATTATACTGTAATTTTTAAAAACTTTTATATAAGTTCTAGCCATTTTTTTCTTTCCTTTTTTCATTTTGATTATGGCATTTTAAAATTAGATTTTCCAGCAGCTGGGCCATTTTACTGATTCTTTTCAAAGACGTTCTCTGAGATTCACTATCTATTCATGCCATTGTGCGTTTTCCTGCTGCTAATTTTACTTTTTGTTTTTATATTTTAATATATTTATTTCTGCTTCCTTTGTTCCTTTTTTCTTCACTTTTTAGTTGAAATTATTTTCTCTTGCTTTTACTTTTAAAAATGTAACATGCATTTAATACTACAATTTATTGAGAACAACTTTACGCATATTCCATAATCTTAAATGTGAATTATTCTGATTCTCATTATTTTTCAATTAGCTGTTTTCAAATCCCTTTATTTCCTCATTAATCAGAAATTTATTCAAAAGAGTATTCATAAAATTTGTTTAATCTTTTGTTGTTGTTTCCAGTTGTTATACTTTCCTTTGAGAACATAGATTGCATATATTCATCTTTCTGACTTATGATTTTTGTTATTATTTTTCTCATGCCTGACTACATTTTTCAATACTTTTTAATATCCTGTGGCTAATTAGCAGGAAACTGTATTTTGCAACGCAAATACAATATGCTTTATAAGATAAATAATAACTGCATAAGACAAAGTTTGAAATAGTTATTAATTATAGTTTACTAATTATATTGTTTCAATCATTCATGTCATCATTTTTATATACTTTATGATGACAAATATGAAAGTTTGAGGAATTAGTGTTGGGAAATTCTAAGGGTAGAACCCATAGTTAGGCTTAGGCCTAAGAGTAGTGGAGTGGCTGTGCATGACCACAGATTTGTTGTGATGGGAATTTGCAGGAGGGAGGAAGCTGCTTGTGAATGGCAAAAAAACACAAAGTACTATAACTACTGTGTTTAACGGCCCTGCTGGGAGAACAGAGGAGCTGCTCAGTAACTGTTTGCTCCATGAAATAATAAATTTTTTCCCCCTCAAACTGTTTGGTTGAAAAATGGGCTATGCCAAAGGCAGTGAAGTTAATTATCCCCAGGAGAGGCAGGCTAGGTAAGAAAAGATGGCCCTGGGGACCATGTTGGATTGCCCTGAGTTGCTGGATGTTCCAGGAGGAGGGAAGAGATGATTTAGCTTGAGCTTTTCAAACATGTTTTGTTTGTTTGTTTTGCTTCAAGGATCCAGAAAGTGGGATTTTTTTTTAAATCCCAGAAGTTATTTTACGGGGATTGGTGTGCATTGGACAAACAGCATGAAGAACCAGGAGCAGACACTGGCCCTGTCCATAGCACTTAGGCCTTACTACTTCACAGAGCCCCTTCCCACTCTTGACTGCCAGTATCTCTATTCTGTGTGAGGGTTCTCTCTAAATTCCCTGAAGGCCACTCTACCCACACTCATCGTAGGGCAGCTGCAAGGGCTGGTATCAACTCTTCTGGGAGCAGACCTCAACCATGGTCTGCCCAGAACTACTGTACAGCTATCCTAGATCTTCTGCTTCTTGGGTGAGAAAACTCTAAGGCATGTGCTCTACACTTGCAATCAGAGGTCTCCACTAGAGATGAAGCTCTGGTTGCCCTTTGTAGTAGCTGTCCTAAGAATGAACCCTTTACTGGCTCCCTTCCCATCCCTGTCTCACTGCCTCACTTCAATGCTGGTGTTCTCTGCACCTTCCAAATTCACAACTTGCACTTGAAACCTTGTCTCAAGGTCTTCTTCTGGGAAAAACTAAATTAAGACAAATAATAATTTTTATTATTTGTTTTAGCCTCATCAATCTTTGTAAACAAGCATTGCTGGGAGAGGAAGGTGAAAAATGTTCAAGCTAAGATGTCATGCTTGGCTGCCTCCAAGAGTATTTGAAAATGTCATTCAAGTCGTTTATCACACTGTGCTTGAAGAGGCCAACTATGGGTTCTGCGTTAGAATTTCCCAACACCAATTCCTCAAAAGCCCTAACTCAGTCAACTGGCTGTACTGAGACCAATGAGCAATCTTCCAGCCATTAGTTACCACGAATAATATTAAATTACAATTCCTCCTGCAGTTGTAACTTTCTCCTGGACTAACTGGTTGAGAAGATAAATAGGCTTTCTCAGGCCAACTAGGAGGGAGTCCCAGCCATGGGCACAAAGATATGTTTATTACAATTATGATCATGGCTGTTTTCAGAGAGGCAGAGGCTAGATTTAAAGTAATAATAATAATAATACTGTCCAGAAATTATTGTGGTGTAGAAGATCCTGCATCTTCTTCCAGGAGGCCTTACCTGAGACTCTCATCTGGACTTTGTGTTCTTCTTCCGTGAGCCCATGCTGCCTTATCTTTCCCACATTATGGTCCTTAACCTATTAAATTTTAATGAGTATTTTATTTATCTAAACCCCGAGCATACTTGAAAGCAGTGATTATATCTTTCATTGTTATATCCTTGGCATAGGGCTTGGCACTTAAAGGCATAGACAAATAAATAAATAGAGAACTGTAACAGGTAAAACCAATGAGAAAAGACCCTCGAGACAAAAACTGGAAAATATTTGAATTACCATTTAAAAAATACTCCTTTAAGTCTCATGATTTAAAACAAAATCAGATTATCAATAAGGGTTCAAGTTTGTGAATGCTATCTTTTATATTCAGAGAACTTGTTATTTATGTGGAAATGCAAGAGAAGGCCAATTTGAGACATTCAGAGGCTTGAGAACATCCCATCAGAAATCCTTGAAAAAATTACTTTAAATTGTATGCTAAATAACAGAAAGATAAAGCAAAATATAAGCACATAAAAGGATGTGATGTCATAACAGATGAGTAACAACAATAAAGAAACAGGGAAGTGTAAATAATTTCAAAGGCCTACTTTATAAAATAGAATACAGAGGGAATAAATAGAGTTAAAGTGTTCTAAAGACCTTGAATTTTACAAACAGTGGTAAAATATTAATGTATATTATATTCTAAATCATGAATAAATGCTGTGATTTTGAGGGTAACATTTAAAAATAGTAAAAGATCATATAACTAACAAGCCAATAGAGGGATAAAACAGATCAATAAAAATACTTGATTGGTCAAAAAAAGGCAAGAAAGGGATAAAAAGAAACAAACAGAGGTGGGCTAATAATAGAAAATAAATTGTAGAATAACAGATTTAAACTCAAATATATCATTAAATATGAATATGTAGACTTATTCCATTTAAAAGAGAAAGATTGTGAAATTAGACTTAAAAACTATTGCTTATAAGAAACACACTTTAAGTATAAAGATACAGAAAGATTAAAAGTAAGAGGATTATAAGATATAATCCAACATGCATACCTTAAATAAAAGACCAAGGATGTCGGTATATGGTTATTGCATAAAGTAGATAAGAGATAAAGAGAAATATTTTATAATGACAGAAGAGTCAGTCCAACAGGACCATAAAACAATTCTAAATTTTTATGTACCCAATAATATAGCTTCAAAATATCTAAAGCAAACACTGACAGAAATGAAAGGAGAAATAGACAAATCCATAGTTAGAGTTGGGGATTTTTAGCACAGCACTGTATCCAGCAGCTGCAGAATGCACATTCTTTTTAAGTCCACATGGAACATTTGTCAAAATTGATTATATGCTGCTGGGATATAAAGCAATTTTCAACAAAATTCAAAGTATCAACATCCTAAAAAGTATGATCTCTAAGCACAGGGGAATAAAGCTAGAAAACAATAATACTTGGCCAGTTGGTTGCATTTGGAGTGAAAGATGGAGAAAGGTGATGGGAGCAACTGGCTGGAGTGAATCATAGAAGAGTCACATCAGAGAAAAGAGCAGCTTTTGACAGATATGTATCCAAGGACAGTGCCCTGTAGACTGAAATGCAGAGCTCCTGGAAGTAAGGAATGCAGCAGAGGATGGGTCTGCGGGTCTCAATGGCAAACTTAATCAGCTGTGTAAGTTTGTGGAGAGCCAGTCACTATGGAGAAATCCTGGCTATGCTTCCACATTGCTGAAATTGCCTATCAGATAAATTTTCCTTCCACCATAAAGCAAATCTTTCTTCTATTCAATGTCTATTTGCCTAGTGGAAAGCATCACACTATTAAATTCCTCCACTCTCTAAGGTCGTCTCTATTGAATATTTCTGAAGGTCACCAGTATGCAGCCTAATGGGCCATTTGATTTTAGGCTACTGAAAAAGTATTACATGCATCTTCCAAATGTGGTCACAGTTCATAAGTAGCTTAGGCACCAATAGAAGCTAGGTTGGAGTGCAACTTGTTCCATCAGGGGTGCTGCATTTTAGGAAGTGAGGACTCCAGATAATGCCGTGGTAGGTTTCAACATGTTTTCATTTTTTAACTGTCAAATTCCAGCTTCTCCTTGATTTTTCAGGCTTAAAATGAAACATCAGAAATGGAAAGATATTAACCCTATATTCAGGCTCCCTCTGCCCTTCATTCCCCACTACAGAACTTTCCTGAAATTCTTTTCACAGACTGCCATGCTCTGTACAAGGTAAAGAGTTAAAAAATATTTCCTGAGTTGACTTAAAGAATGCTGAATACACTTGCTCGTTTCATTAATGCTTTAGTGGCATATTACATCCAAAGAGTTTAGCCACTGTAGCTTGTTTCCTGGTTTGACAAAGTATTGCTTATTATTTGAATTTATGAGAAATTTCAAACTAGGTCTTCCAGTGTGATAAAGAAATAAGCCAACTCATACTTGCATAGAGAGATTTCTTTCCACCCCAAAGGTTCCTGAAAGATAATCCCAAAACAAGAATCCTTGGAAATTTTCCTACTTAAATGAGAAAGGCTTTGGATAGCCAGATCACAATTAATGACTGCATTGGTTTGCCCAGAGGCAATGGGGCTTGTTAATTGAGACACAGAGATCCTGGAGGGTGGCCCGATTACCACATGGCCGCTAGAAATATTGTGAATGGCAATAACCAGGCTATTTTAGCCTGGTTTCATTCTGATGTGATTCCTATGGCAAATTCCATGAAAAAGGATGTGTCCCCACGGCCCAGAGCCTCCCTGCTCCTCCCCAGGCTCCAGGCCCAGGATCCCATAGCCACGGTTCTGGCCTCAGCTACTCCCTTCTTGCACGGGGTTGGTTCCTTCCCAGGTGAGCCCTCTTCTTTACAGTATCATTCCCCAGGCCACACCCAGAATGGAGATCTTTCAAATAAGAAAGGTTTCTGGAGGTAACCAGGTCTCCATATTCTTCATCACACAACTCACCCCACCAACTTCCCCGCACCATACATAGCACCCTTCAGCACATATGAAAACACTTGTTTGCCAACTGGGCTAACTCTGGTTGGTCCACAAGGTTATTTGGTACTAATTATCCATAGAACGAATACACTACCCCCAACGACCTACCTTACTTTCATCTCCTACTTGGCTTTCTACCAGGGAGACTTGGTACCTGCAGAAGGTGATGAAACAGGCAAACGTTGTTTGTCAATAATCACAATGAGGAAGGGACTTTGTCACTTCCATCCATCCAGAGGCTCCATAGTGCTTTGGACATTTCAGAGTTGGACTTGACAACATTAGGAATTATTTCTCTTCCTCCTTCTGGGCCGGTTCTGAGCTATGCAGACAGCTCTTAATCCACATTCCAGACCATCCGAAGCTTTGGCTGCTGTTCTAGGTTTGGCTCTGCTGTGCATAGAGTAGGAAAGAGAAGAGTAGGCAGAGGTGCAAAGATCTTGCTCCTGAATGCTAAATAAAGGAAATGCAGCATTTTTTTGCCTAATAAGATCAATGCAATAATCCAAGTTTCAACTCCATGAAATATTAACCCTCCGGCAGAACAGATAAACAAAAGGAAAAGAAAAGAATATTAACAATGTTGGGAATAGGAGACAATGAGTAACTATAACGTGCAAGGGTAAAAGCTCACTCTATCTGCCTAATAAAATAGAATCATTTGTTTGAAATTCACATGTGGTTATGCTTGATTTATCTTTAGCCAATCCAATTAAAAGCCCAGTTCCAGAGCTTTCCTCCAGAGTGACTTAAGTGGTCAAACCATAATACATTCAGTTTGCAAGTGGCATAATTAAAACAAGATGCCAGTTAAGGGCCTTGGAGTGGCTTAAAATAAAATCTGACTCCTCATCAAAAAATGTACACAAAGGTATAGTGTGGCAGGAAGCAAGAAGGGAAATTCAGACTTTCGTTCTATTCCTGGCTGTGTCTCTAACTTACTCCAGACTGCGTGCCAGTCACTTAACTCTTTAGGCTCTGCTCTGCTGTCTTATCTTTGAAAATAATGAGGAGCAACTCTCCTGCCGGCCTCCAGCAATACTGCAAGGCTCAAAGGAAACACATCTAGAAATATACAGAAAGAAAACAGCCCATTTAACATAGGGTATGATAGTATTGATTACAAATGTTGGTTATTCGTGGTAACGGGGATGGTGGCATTTGTAAAAACGTTGCTGGGATATCACTGCAGGGAGTGTAGAAGGAAGCCAGGCTTGGTGTCTATTAAATTCCAGGAAAGCATAAAATAAAAATATTTTACTGATAGAACAAATAATTGAAGTGACATAGAAATGGCAACAGTCTAAAGTCCTAAAAAGGTTGGTTTGGTCCTTATGAGTGTAGTTTTGTAACTGTGGCCATGCTGGTGAACCAAGGGGGAGACCAGGTCTGGGAGCCTTTGAGCCTGAAGAGGGAGGAGAAAACAAGGAAAGGATACGATGGGCAATCCTTAGCCAGCTCAGAGGATAAGATCTGGATCCCTTTAGGGAGGGCATGGATGAAGCAACTGAGTGGTTCATTTTCATAAGAGTTAAGCAGTGATATAACCAAAGATTGAACTATTTGTATCGAGGTTCCGTACCAAACTAGTGCTCCTTAACTTTCTAAGATCATGGACTCCCTTGAGAATCTTACGAAAGCCAGAGAACCCTCATCTTGGGAGGCTGGGGCAGGAGGAAGTGCACACACATGTCTCTACAATTCTGCTCCTGGAAGCCCGGGTGTGGAATGTTGGTTTGGAAACCCCAAACCAAGCCTTCATCTCCAAGAATGCAACATTCATTTTTATTTGTCTTTCTAGCATTTCTTAAGCAGAGTTCCTGGGCTGCTCATGGAATTGACCAAGTTCTGATGAAAGAAATGATCTAAAGTGTTATCTACTTTGGCTGACAGCACTAATTGACATTCACCAAAGTAAGGCTAGCCTCATTGATCCTTCATAAAGAGGGCAAGGATGTTTATGTTCTCAAAAGTTCATGGGCAAGAAGGCTGCAGGTTGCCAAGCATACCCTCACCTAGCCCCAGGTTTGGCCCAAATGGAAACATCACCCTTTCATGAGTGTTCCTACTTTAACTGAACCATCTTCTAACTCAGGCCTTAAAGAAGGTCCACATGGCCCTGCTGGGCTGCTCCCCAATCCTGGTCTCAACCAAAGGTCCAAGGTGAACATATGACTGGAGGAACCAACTTCCTCAGGAGTCCCCTTGCCCTCACAGACTCATTTCCACCTCCAGGCCTTTGCATGGGCTGTCCCTTCCACCTAAAATGCTGTCTCCCCTTCTCTATGTGAGTAAAAATGGGAATTAATGGGTACAAACCCAAACGTAAGTGCGTTGAGCATGTGATTTAATAGCCTAAGGGGTAATTCAATACAAATATCACAAAATCAAAAAATCTTAAAATCTTAGGGTTGGTTTACTCCTCAAAGGTCATTTACTCCAACTATCTAACACTAATACTAATATTTATAGCAATAAATAGTGATAATGACATTAATACTAATATCACCAGTAATATCATTACTAACACAAGCAATCCATCTCCTTGAGTACTGATCTGGCTCATCAGTTGTTTTTCTTTTTGCAGGACAATTAATTCTTATACACACACACACACACACACACACACACACACACACACACGCCAGGTATTTAGACAAAGAAACATAGCATAAGACTAAAGTTGCATGACCTTAAAAAAATAAAGAAAGAATTGAAAATAGTTACTATTTCTGTGTACTCCAGGATGACCTTGAGGGAAAAACAGACAAGAATCTGATAATTTAGAACCATGCGTGCACACATACACCCCTCATTTTGTTCTGGGAAGGTAGCCCAAACCTTTCAGTTTTTGTGCTAATATGGCCCAAGAAGAAGGGAGAAGGGGTCTTAATGAAAGCTTTGTTTTGTAATAAAAAGAATGAAATCAGATCCACCATTTACAAATGACTTTGCATGTCACAAAAGTCTCTTCCTATCCTTCAAATGCAGAGACTTGATCAAATACTCAGTCAAATGCTCATCCACCTGCCATTTAAACGCTCAGATTTTCTTCCCAGAAACTCCTCTCCACCACCACTAGAGCCTGTTAACTCAGGTGTTTCCAAAAGCAAGGGTTTCCTCCTTCTCTCACCCCAGAAAGCTAGCAGAAGTCATCCCTCCATCTTTGCATCCCCTGGGTCCTTCCAGAGATCAAAGAGCACAGAGATGCAATACTTCCCGTCACTCACCCTGAAAACATCTCCCTACAGGATTGGATTCCACCACCAACCTTTGGCCCAAGTTGGCACAGATGTGGGGCATGTGTCACAGCCATGCGGCAAAAGCAGCAGCTCATTTTTCTAGCTCACATTTTTCACTGTAGACAAAGTATCTGGAAATGGCTCAGGCATCACATTATTGTGAAAGCTGTCATGCTAAAGGCTAAGCTCTCAGTGTCAATTTATGAAAGGCAGCAGACAATTATTTGCTAGGTGCAAGGTGTGCATGGATGTGTATAAACATGTCTGGAGGTTATTTCTGATGATGGAGAGGCATGTTTTTCCATAAAGGAATAGTCTAAAATAAGGAAAAATATTACTAATGTAGTCCATGTGGAGACAGTTTCTCTGTTCAATTACTTTTTACCTGATGTTTTGCTATGCTCTCCACAATGTGCTTTACCCATGCTTAGCATTTCAGGGTGCCGTCCCACAACACTGTCTCACCTTCTCCTCCTCATAGACTTGTGAGGTTAGCTCCCCTTCACATGTGAAGAATGAGGTATCTCAGAAACCCCAACTCTACTAAAAAGACAAAAATTAGCTGAGCGTAGTGGCACATGCCTGAAACCCCAGCTTGGGAGGCCAAGGCAGGGGAATCACTTGAAACAAGGAGGAGGAGGTTGCAGTGAACAGAGATTGTGCCACCGCACTCCAGCCTGGGCAACAGAGTGAGACTCTGTCTCAAAAAAAAAATAGATTGAGGAGAGCGACATATAACTGCACTGTAGGACACATAGCTGGGCTAGAGGACATGCACGTCCTTCTTAGAGTCTGGGCCATATATCATAGTAAATAGTGAGTTTAATAGAGGTCCATTGCCTGAATAATCTTTGGGAGAACCTCTTAGACAATACTCCATTGTAACATTGAAAGGACATGCAGTCATTCTTTTGCCTTATTTCCAAGTTTTGTATAAGTTTTCATAACAGCTTTTAATCAAATCCTTATCTCTTATTTATAAAATAAGAAATACAACTATTGTAAGATGATATCTGTAGTTATAATACTGATTGTACCAAGTGACAATTAATTATTTTCTAAGCCCAGATTCTAAAGAACTGGGCTTTTGTTCAATCTGCAAAACCACCTCCTGGTGGGTCCAGGCTTTCCAGAAGTGTGTGCATGCCACAAACATTCAGTATTAGCCTCCCCAGGGGTAAGGACATGAGGCCTCTGTTTGGCAGAGCCAAAAAGGGTCTCTCTCATTATCTCTGAACCCTGAGCTGCTTGGAGCTGCCTGGAGCAGAGCCCCAGTTGATGCCCTGTGGGAGGTCTTCTGACTTCTGTCTCAGAAGATGACCAAGGCCTCCATGGTCTCCCTCCACCCAGAATCCCAGTCTGGAGCTGGCTCTGGGGGTATGGTTGTGCTCTATAAGGCTGTCTCTCAACCCTAAACCTCCCAACCTCCTTCAATGTCACAGGCCTATGATGACAACACCCAACACTTCATACTTCTCAGAGTCTTTTCTCTCATTTCCTTTCCCATCATATGCCTCTCTCTTCCTTTTCTCCCTCCCATTTCCCTTATCTCCTTTCTCTTCATCTTTATCTCTCTTTTCCCCCTAGCCCTTTTACATTTGATCGTGTCACTCTCTTGGTTAGGATAAAACACAAACCCCTCCCCATGGTTTCAGTACCTGCTATTCCCTCTGCTTGAGACACCATTCCCTCTAAAATTCCTTGGGCTAGTTCCTACTCTCTGCTAGGTTTCTGCTTAAACCTCATTTTTCTCAAAAAGAATTTCTCCTAACACCATCACCCCACGTTAAGTCCTTTCCTTTTATTCTTTCTCATATTGCTCTGTTTCTATAGCTATAGCAATTATCTCCATTTTAATTAAATATGTATTTGCATGTTTATGTGTTTAATATCTGCATAGGCATTTGGATGGAGACTTTGTGGGCAGGACTACACCTGTGTTTTCTGCCACCTCTGTGGTCTGCACCCACCACTGTGCCCAATTCATAGTAGATGCTCCGTCGCTGGTAAACCTGGTGCCTCACCCACTCCTTCTTCACTGCCACCTTCTCTAAGCTCACATCTTACTTCTAGAATATGATGGGATCACTGGCAGTAAGGAACGTCCAGCTCGAAGAAGGCAGCTGGGAAAGATATTTTAAACACACTCAGACCCCCAGTGCCTGACATCATCCCTGTTTCCCTGTTAGCATTACCAGTTCCCAGTATTTGTTGAATGAATGAATTATTAATATTATTCTACCTAATTTCAAAGCACTATTTCAGACATTAAACCATGAAATACTAGGAACAAAACCACTTGACACAGAGAGAAAAATGATGTATCTACAGGAAAGACTGCTCTGGACATCGCTAGACCCAGGGTTTGGGGTAGGATGAACAGTCAGTCATTCAAGCATTGGTGGTAACCAGGGAGCACACTCTGGAGCCACAGCAAGGCCAACAAGGGCAGGTGACTTGTAGGAAGAGCAAGGCCGGGAGGCAGTTCCAGCTCCTCCACCCCTCCTAGTGACCTTGGGCAGCTCACCTCACCTCCTCTATCACTGTCTTTCCAGCTGGATTCCTCAAAGGACCATTCTGAAGAACAAGTAAAAAAAGTCTATGTTTAAGGTATGATGAAAACCATCATCAGTCAGTAGAAGGTGAGAATGAGAGCAGGTTGACCTTCAGACCTGTGGATCAAGAAGAAACATGAGATGACCACAGGTGAGCCATAAATCACACCAAAGTAGCTGTTGATGAAAATAGTCTAACTCTGTAAAATACTTGAGATTTATTCTGAGCCAAATATGAGTGACCATGGCCCATGACATAGCCCTCAGGAGGTCCTGAGAACATGTGCCCAAGGTGGTTGGTGCAGCTTGGTTTTATATATTTTAGGAAGGCATGAGACATCAATCAAATACATTTAAGAAATACATTGGTTTGATTCAGAAAGGCAGGACAACTCAAAGTGGGGGCTTCCAGGCTATAGGGAAATTTAAACATTTTCTGGTTGACAATTGGTTGAGTTTGTCTAAAGACCTGGGATCCATAGAAAGGAATGTTCAGATTAAAGATAAAGGGTTGTGGAGACCATGTTTAGTGTGCAGAGGAAGCTCTCAGATAGCAGACTTCAGAGAGAGCAGGTTGTAAATTGTTTCTTATCGGACTTAGAAAGGGTGCCTGGCTCTTAGTTGATTATCTCCTGGATTTGGAAAGAAAGGAAGGAAAACAAAGGGGGAAGGGGATTCTCTATAGAATGTGGATTTTTCCCACAAGAGATTTTGCAGGGCAATTTCAAGGTATGTCAAGGGAATATATTTTGGGGTTAAGTATTTTTTCCATTTCTCATAATGTTAAGCCAGAGTCAGATTGAAAGTAAGTCACAATATATAGGGTCAAATAAAACCCATCAGATGAGAATTTATGGTTTGTAGGGCATGACTCCATAGACTCCTTAGGTAGGAATTTGGGTAAGATAAAAAATCAGTGCTTAGTCCTCATAGCCAAGGGACGAGGTAAAAGTTCACTTACAGCAAGAGGTTCCTGTGAAGACCTAACAACATGACTCCTTCCAGTTGTTGTTGTTTATTGTTGAGACAGGGTCCCTCTTTGTCACCCAGGCTGGAGTGCAGTGGTACGATCATAGCTCACTGCAGCCTCCAACTCCTGGGCTCAAGTGATCCTCCCACCTCAGCCTCCTGAGTAGCTAAGACTAGAGGCGTGAGCCATCACACCTGGCTAACTTTATTATTTTGGTAGAGATGGGTCTCTTTGTTGCCAGACTGGTCTCAAACTACTGGCCTCAAGCAATCCTCTCACCTTGGCCTCCCAAAGCACTGGAATTACAGACGTGAGCCACTGCACCCGGCCTCCTTTGAGTTTTCTTTTTCTTCTTTTTTTTAATTTTAATTTTAATTTTTTATTATATTTTAAGTTCTGGGGTACATGTGCACAATGTGAAGGTTTGTTACATAGGTATGCGTGTGCCATGTTGGTTTGCTGCACCCACCAAATTGACTGCTTGCTTAGTTTGAGTCACTGTCAAGCCAGCCCCAGACGTCTATAAATAATACCAAGAGCTTTTCCCTTCTTGGTGCCTGCGGTTTGCCAAGTTTCTCCTCTGCCAATGAGCCCTGTGAATTGGCCACCACTTGCCAATACCTCAACTATGATGTTCCATTCCATTACCCTTTGCCTCAGAAGAAGCAGGTGGGAGCCAAGTCCGCACACTGGCTCTGAGGGAGCTCATAACCAATGTGTCTGGATTGGTTAGAATCAGCTCAAATTAAAAGTGTGTGTGTTTGCCTTTGGGTTAGATTTTGTTTGTTTTTTTTAAAGAATCTGGGAAAGTAACCAAGAATTTTGTAAAAAAACAAAACAAACCAAAAAACTTTTCCTAAAGGGGCACCTCAAACCTGGTTCTCACAGCACAGAAAAATGACACAGAAGGTACCATTTGTTCACCCACTGATTTCATCCTCCAGTGAGCAAGGTATAAAAATGCCATCTTCTCAACCATTTTTATGTTTGTAGGGTTTCCATGGGGAGGGATTTGCCCCGTCTTTCTTCGTTCCTCTGAATGTAATGAAAACAACAGTTGTTTTTCTCTCATGTCTTTGAATCGCCACCTTCCCTGATGCAATGCAGATGTGTTGGTTTTGCAAATAAAAAAGGATGTGTGGGTGTCAGAGCATTGACCCCGGGAGATGTACCCTGAAATGCTGAGGCTGTGGAGGAAGGAGGGGCTGGCAGGACCCTCTGGCTAAAAAATAAAAGTAGAACTACATCAAACTAAAAAGCTTCTGCACAATCAACTGAAACAATCAACTAAATGGAAAGGCAACCTATGGAAGTGGAGAAAATATTTGCAGCCCATATATCTGATAACATCCAAACTATATAAGAACTCATACAACTTAATAGCAAAAAATAATAATAATAAGTAATCTGATTTAAAGATGGACAAAGGACCTGAATAGCTATTTCTCCAAAGATAAACGAACAGCCAACAGGTACATGAAAGAGTGTTCAACATCACTAATCATCAAGGAAATGCAAAATTAAAACAATAATGAGATATCAGCTCACACCTATTAGGATGACTTATAAAAAAGACAAAAGCTAAGTGCCAGTGAGGGTATGAAGAAAAGGGAACCTTCACAGACTGTCAGTTGGGAATGTAAATTGGTACAACCACTCTGGAAAACAGTATGACGACTCCTCAAAAAATTAAAAGTAGGAGTATGACACGATCCAGGAATCCTACTGTGGGTATATATCCAAAAGAATGGAAATCAGTGTCTTCAAAAGATATTTGCACTCTCATGTTCATTGCAGCACTATGCGTAATAGCCCAGGCACGGAAACAGCCCCAGTGTTTGTCAACTGCTTAATAAAGACTATACGATGATATATATACTGGAATATTATTTAGCAAAAGAAAAAAAGAAATCCTACCACAAAAGAAATCCTTGCAATAATGTGATGAAACTGGAGGGCATTGTGCTAAGTGAAATAAATCAGACAAAGAAAGACAGATACTGTATGATCTCACTTTTATGGGGAATCTAAAGAAGTCAAACTCATAGAAACAGGGAGTAGAATCAGAATGATGTTTGCAGGGCCTAGGGGAGAGGGTTATAAGGAGATGTTGATTAAATGATACAAAGTTTCAGTTATAAGATGGGTGAACTCTGGGATTCAATGCACAGCATGATGACTCTAGTTAGCAATAATGTATTGTATACTTAAAATTTGTTAAGAGAATAGGTCTTAAATATTCTCACAACAAACACACACAAAGATATGCAAGGTGATAGATTAATTATCTGGTTTATGGTAATCATTTCACAATGTGTACATATATCAAAACAACATGTTGTACATGGTAAATATATTGAGCTTTTATTTGTTCATTATACCTCAAAAAAAGTGAGAAAAAGATGGTTATAAACCTGAGTTAAATGAAGGTAAATTGACTATTTTTAGCTGTATAAATTTACCTTGCTCTAGCGAATTTTATAGAAGAAATACTGATATTTCAGCATCAAGATTTTAATGAAAAGTCTTTAAATATATTTTAATTAAGACTTTTAATTTTTTAGTGAGAGTTAAGAAACTATTCTACAATAATAAAGAAAAGAAACTGTTCTACAATAATAAAGATTAATGTTAATTACCTGAAACTACTTCTCCTAACCCTTAAACTAGAAAGGACCATCTCAACCATCCCTGGGTCTTAGGAGCACAGAGCACTACCTTCTACAAGCATGGCATTGGAGAAGCCATTTCATTTGATGCCAGGTCTACCAATTGTGTGCATGTGAGTGGTGTGTGGTTGTGTGTGCATGCATGCACATGTGTGTAACAGTAATATATGGTTGCTAGTTTTGTCTCTCAGGTTTGAAGGGATTTTCATTTTCTATTTTATATTTTCTCTTCACTGTCTTAATTTCTTTTCAATTGTGTTATTTTCATAATCATAAAAAAAGCTATTTCCATTTTGAAGAAAAAATAGATGGTTACTTGGCGAATAAAAATTATTCTTTATTTTCATTTCTGAAAGCTGTGTTTATGGAGAGCCAAAATTTAAATGTAATTGGGCAGAGTGACAACAGAAATGCCCAAGATAAGCAGCTATAGTCACTTTCCTAAACTCCTCCGTGTTCCAGGGTCCGCCCTCAGTTTTTCTGACCAGGGTCAGGTCCTCTGTGTCTCCTCTGTCCCCATCCCTACAACTCTTCTGCCCCATCTCATAAGATATCATGGGCATTTGAAAATGTTTAATAACATGCATCTCCTTGGGTCTGGGATGTTGCAAAGGAACAAAACGACCCTGAAGCCATTGAGCCCAGCTTCTAAACAAAGGGATGGTGGGACTGTTATTTAGCTCATTCCAGTTTTGTGCCCACCAGATGTGACAACTCTCAAAGGTCTCCAGTCTTTTTTGTTCTGTTTCAAGTGAACAGATCCTGCTTATAATTTTACCAGGAAAAAAAATTATCTATCTGTGCTAAGCTTCAAATTGCCTTTATTTTCCTCGGAGAAAAAAAACAACAAAACACTTTTTTTTTTTTTTTGCTTTATTTTTTTCCTGAGTATAGCTAGCTGGTTCTTTTGCTATTTTATATCCTACCTTTTCTTCTGGTTTGTATCCCCGAACTCAGTGCTTCTCAAATTTTAATGTGCACAAGAGTTATCTATGGATTTTGTTAAAGTGCAGGTTCTGATTCAGCAGGTCTGGGGTGGGGCCTGAAACTCTGTATTTTGAAAGCATATCCTGGCGAAGCCAAAGCTGCTGGCCCAGAGACCACACTGAGTAGTGAGGCTGTACCTCATCTGGAGACATAGGGAGGTAAAAGTAGGTACTGCATTCTACTCAGATGGCCTATTTCTTCCATACCCTAGAAGTGCTTGCAGCTCTGTTTTTAGCCAGCTCTAAATGGAGCACTTAACTAACGCATACTGTTATTTTAATAATATTAGGTAAATAAAAATGCAAAACTTAAGTTGCAGGGTTACTAACATCTCATCACTCCCAGTTGTCCAGTCTCTAGGTGTTCTTGGAATACTCATCCTTGTGTTCAACTCTCCCACTATCTACTTCGGGGCCTCATGCCTGCTACCTCTAAGCAGTCTAGTGTTTTTATTTAGAGCTTTCCTTGGAGCCTGCTGTCACTAAGTCAAATTCAAATGCTACCACTTACATACTGCATGTGCTGCGTGACCCTAAGCACACTGCTCCACTGTCTGAATCTCAGCTTGCACGAGTCAAAGAAAAATAAAATCTACCCTATACAGTGGCTGTGATATTTAAGTGAGATCCTGGTCTCTAGCAAGTTGATCCATTCTGACCCCACAGTCTCTTCTAGGCTAACCCCAGGGCCTGAAATCCCTTCTGTCTCACGCCCTTGTTATATTATCTTCACCAGTCTTGATTTTGATGTTAAACATGTGTCTGTGGGACAGCCGCAGATCCAAGCTTGTTGTCCCACTTGGAGCAAGTGGGCAGAACCCTCACAGTCAGACTCGTTTGAATCTCGGTTAATTTTTACCTAATTAGCAATCACAACTGCTTTACTACTTAAAAAGAAAAACTATAGCTGTTCCTAAGAATTGCATATTGATGTGAATATTCAGTAACTTGGGACACCTTTGTGCCAGATTCCTTATTTGCTTACAAAGATCATTATTTATTCATTGACAATTTAGTTATTACCATTTTAATTGGATGATCTGAATAGCTTGAGGCAAGGGATTTCAGATAGCTTTCGCCTGGCATACCAAGTCTGCTCAACAAATTGATAATTGGTAATGTTCCTCTGGAGTATGTTGTTAAGAAAGATTCTGAGGCTGCTTCCTTCCGGGCATGAAGGAGTACCTGATCATTTAGCAATAGCCCCGGTGGGAAGACCATCCCTTCTTTAAACCACAGGGATTTTTTTTTTTTTGTGTGGGGGTGGGGGGAGAGGGAGGATTATATCATTCTTTCCTTATCTTCCCAATTTAGTCATATTATAAAATATTGGTAGAAATTTCTACTTCTTGGGTCAATGTTATAAACTTTGCGTCCCTGACTTAAAGTTGGATTCTAAATTTAGTGGGAAATCCCAGGAGAACAAGAGCTAATTTTCACATTCACGTTCAGAATCAATTATTACTTATTCTTTGAGTGCCTACTCAATGCCACACAGGCCCTGTGCTAGGCACCCTCTCAAGTCATCCTGAGAGCATGGACCCCACCAGCTGTTCTTTCACATCTACAAAGCACATGTAAAGGTAGACAGGGCTTGTTATTCTCCCTTGTTGGAGGGTCTCTGATTTCAAATATCGAAACAAATATATTTTTTCTAAGTATATTTAATAAATCTAGTCTCTTTTCAATTAAAAAACAGTTTCCCAGGGTTTAAAGTTCTCTAATGAGTTTCCAGAATTTTCTATGGTAGAGAAGGAAATGTGATTGCCTTTCGGAAAGCAGTTGTTATAATTCCAACATCTCATCACAACAAGCATGTTTGTTTCTCAAGACTGAAGCAGGAGAAGGGGAACTAACTTCCCACAAGACAACCCACTTGGGGTAGCTGCTGTCAGATGCATGGGGGTTAAAATTGTCACAGAGGTGAGGAAGGGGCATTGAGAATAGTTGCACATGCAATCCAACAGGTTTATTGTTTTTTCTTTTTTTTCTTCTTCGTCCTTTTTTTTTTTTTTTTTTTTTTTTTTTTTTTTTTTTTTAACATACACACTCTTTGTCTTGCAAAGAACCAACTGGAAGAAGTACTAAAGACAGGATACATCTCTAACCACCAACAGTGACCCTGGCAGTCTTAACTCTTTCCTGTCAGCACTGTCATCTTTGGGGTATATAGACATCAGCTGCTCCATTCCCTTCTTCCCTAGCTCTCAGGTCCTTATCATTCCCTGAAATCTCCCTGAATACACCCCAGGTCTGTGGGGCTCTTAGGCAAACACCTCTGCTTCTGAGTAGCAGGTCCACTGCTTCGTGTGCTAGTGGTCCTGGAAACCCTCCCTCACAGCTGCCTCCTGTACTTTTTTAATTCCTTAAAATAGCCAGAAACCTTTCCCATCAACACTTTAAATCACCTTGAATAGGATGCCCCTATGTACCAGACTCCTAGCCTGGCAGTCCCATCACCCACTCCCTCCCTCCCTCCCTTCCTTCCTTCCCTTCCTTCCTTCCCTCCCTTCCTTCCTTCCCTCCCTCCCTCCTTCCTTCTTTTCTTCCTTTTCTCTCCCTGTACCCCAGAACTTCTGACCTCTGTGTGGCCACTCTCTTTGCCTACAGTGCTTCCTCACTCTCCCACTCACTCCTCTTCTCCTAATGAATTCGTTCTCTTTCTTCAGAGGTCAGTTCAATTGCTTCTTCAAGGAAGCCCTCCCTGACTTCTCTAAGTCAGATCTTCCTAGTAAATGATCTCATAGCACCATACCCCTCCCCATTGTACAATTTTACATGTGGGTGATTATTTGATTAACGTCTCCATTCACCACCAGATGTAACTCCTAACAGATGAGAATAGTTTGTGATTTTTGCTCACAGAAATTCCAGTGGAATTCCTCGCATCTAGCATTTTCCCTGACACTTAGAAGGTGTGCAATAACTATCTGTTGGATGTAATCATGAGAACAATTCCATTTATCAAAAGTCGTTATTCTGTTTCACCCAAAACTGGGTGTACTACAATAAAATTTGAATGCTGACCACCTGGAGTTATTTTGCATCAGGTCCCACAAGTTACAGGCTGAGTCCCCCACAGCACTGCCTCCACTTCAGATGCCAGCCCCACTTCAGGGGCCCCCAGGCCACCCACACTTCAGACTGACTATAAGTTTGGGGTTCCTATGACCCCCTCAGATTTGGTAATTCACTACAATGACCCACAGAACTCAGGAACATGCTACACTTATGATGACAGTTTTATTATGAAGGATATAGATCAGGAACAGCCAAATGAAGGGATGCACAGAGCAAAGTTAGAGGGATGCAGAGCTTCTCTCCCTGTGGAATCGGGAGGCATTTGCCCGACACATCTGTGCTTTCACCAACAATGAAGCTCCACTGAGCTTTGGCCTAGAGTTTTTACTGGGGTTTCATTATATAGGCATAATTGAGTAAATTATTGGCTACATCTTTGAACTCAATCTTCAGCCTCTCTCCCCTCCTCAGAGGTCCCTCTGACCCAAATTTCCAATCTCTCCTTCCTTCCTTCCTTCCTTCCTTCCTCCCTCCCTCCCTCCCTTTCCTGAGTCACCTCATTAGCATAGCAAAGATACTTCTCTCACTCAGGATGTTGCAAGGGTTTTTGAAACTATGCCAGGAACTAGGGATAAAAACTAGATATATCATTTATTATTCCACAATCATAAACAAAATTACAGCAAAACAATGCTGTTTTGTTTCATTAAAACTGGGGGAATTTGGGACATTTCAATGACAGTGGGAGTGGGGAGAGGGAAGCCCTCTCTAGCACGACTGGTGGGAGGTAAGTTGATCAAAACCTCTATTATGGAAGCAACCTGGAAATATGTACTGAGTCTTAACATGTTTATACCCTTCCCCAGTAACCCATAATTTGGAATCTATAATAGGGAAGCATCCAGAAATATACAGGAAGATTTATCTGCAAGTATGTTTGTCACAGTGTTATTTATTATATGAAAAAAATGAAAATGTCAAATTCCAGTGATAATAAAATGTTAAAGTTCCTTCTAAGTGTCAGGAAAAATGCTCTAGGATGAATAAATTATGGCAACTTCACACAATGAAATAATATGTGTCTATTAAAAGCATTCCACAGATGATTAATGACAGAGGAGCATGTTTTAGCATACTATTAAGTAAAAAAAAAACACAAGATTTTAAAATCTGTATAGTTTAATATTAATAGTGGCTAATTCTTGGAGATAACATTGTGGGTGATTATTATTTTTTAATATTTTTCTGCCATTTCTGTAATGATTGTATTATTTTTATAATCAGAAAAAATGACATTGTAAAGAAAACCCCTCTTCAACCACTCGGGGCCTAGTTGAATACAGCTATGAATTATAATCACAAATTATTCTTTCTCATTCATTAAAGTACATCTGGCAAGACCTTTACTTGGCACCAGTTCCTTCGACATTAATTTAAGAGACCAGTTTATAGCTGAGAACAATAAAGCTTCCAATCTTTCCAAATTTCATGTGAGTTTTCACAAGCTGTCCCTCTCCATAATTTGTTCAGAATTATGAAATTTTTGCCTGCTCTCATCTCTGGCAAGCTCACAGGAATACGTGACAGTCAGTGCTTGGCAGAACATGTCTTCTGCAGCTGGAGCCCCTCAACCCACTTAGCTCTGGAAGGCAATTAAAGCGTGGTTTGATGATAAGCCCCTATCTTTTATCACCCGCCTATGGTCCCTGGGGAGCCCTTAGAGCCACATCCTGGAATCACTTTCAGGGAGCTCCTGTCTACCTTCTCTAAAAGGCACACTCCTATTGATGGCACCAATCTTTTCTTGTAGCTCTGTTTCAGAGCAGGTGCCCTTCCAAATCAGACTCAGGTTTTCAAGAACAAACTTGTCCTCCTGACCTCAGCCCTCTGTAGAGGGGAGCCACGTCTCCTTGACATGACTGAGAACTCCCCACAAAGAACTGTTTTTTCAATTAAAGTATGAATTTCCTAAAGCATCTCAACAGCGTAGACATTCCCTAAGGGAAGCAAGTGGCCCCCAAACCAGATTGGGGTCCCCCCAAAGTAGTGGGATACTAAGAATGGGTGGTGGGAGGTGGGAGTGGTTTACCCAGGTAAAGGCAGTAAAGGGGTGTATTGTCTGTAGAGAATATCAAATCAATGCTAAAAAGGTGCTTTTTATTATCATGTGTGCCAGCAATTCTAAACAAGGCCCGTGATACAATTCTTCTCCTCAAAAAAATCATTTGTTAGACCACTTTCTAAACAATGGCGATGATTGCTATTGAGTTTTAATAATGCATATGTAAGCCTCTTATTAGTACATTTTTATTATCCTTCATAAACATTGTATTCTACACAGGAGTTAATTTGAAGCGCTCCCAGTTATAGAGTCAGCTTCGACACATAGGTGGGCTCAGCCTCACCCATTCATTTCAAAAGTTGGCTCTAAAAGTTGCAGATAGTTTGAACTGACTTCCAGCATTGTTCTCGTACCCAACACTGTTGGCTCTCCATGTTCCTGTATTTCAACAGTAGATTCAAAATAACAATCATAGCACAGTGACTCTAAAGAGTACAAAACCAAATGAGTTATTTCAATTGTCATTTTATGAAACCACTCGGAGTTGTACGTGTGTTTAAATTTTAAAATAGTAAAACAGTTTACAAACATCAAGGGGTCATGTTTTTGTTTGATACATGCAAATTTTAATTCGTACATGAAATATGTTACCAAATTTGAATAATGTTTTTAAAGTGCAAATCTAGTATTTTTTATTTTTTTTAAACTAAAGAATAAATCAAGAAAATGGTAATTATTACTGATGAGTACATGATTGCTACTGAAAAAAATTGTTGCTAGAGGAGAAGTTTTAAAAATGATCTGTTTGGGGTTTCAAATGTACAAGGTATACCATTGTCACAAGTCACAGATTCATGGCCTCTTGTTACTTTCTGTTAGTCTGGAAGCCACTACCATTTCCTAAATTCAAAGAATCAAGGAAAAGACAGGTTCTGATTTCTTATACTTTCAAAATTTGGAAATGCTGACCAAATATTCAATGATGGGTTGTCCTAGGCATGTTAATTTGGCTGGTGTGTTGAGGTTAATACTAGCATGGGGCTTGGAGAAGGATAGACCTGGGTGTTAAGCCGATTTACTGGTGTTCTGATTTTAGACAAGTCATGTATCCTATCTAAACCTCAGTTTTCTCATCTGTAAAATGGGAACTTAATAATGCTTAGCATAGTGTTCATGAACATTAGGAAAACAACACAGTACAACTACAAATAATATGAAGAAGAAAGAGGAAGAGCACACACAAATTTTTTAAATAACCAATCTACATGAAATTAGTCTCACATTTCTTCTACTTAAAGAAATTTTCTGTTTTCTAACCCTAGACATATGCCACATCTCTAATTACTCCAGTTTATTTTAAAACTGTCATCATACGAGCATGCTTTACAGAAAGTAGTAATTCTATGAAAAGCAATTTACAAATCCTAATACTGCTTGGTTCCTAATACCACATGGTAGAAAAGTGGGAGGTATTTTAACAACACTAAAACATCATAGAATCCCAAAGCAAACTCTTACTCTTCCTGGGCATCCCTAGTCCCTTATGGCAAAGGCCTGTGAGCATACTGAACTACAGAAGCCAGTGCCCACCTGCCTTACAAAGAGCAGGACATTTCATCAGCCTCAGAATAGGCTATGCTACAACTTGAGCCTAATTCAAAGACATAAACTTTCTCCAAAATTTACCGAAGCAAAACCCTTTCTCTGCATTTTAACATTATCTCCAATGTTCTCCCAAGTCGACCTTTCCTTAACTGTAACAATCTACTTTCCCTTAATAACCAGAACTCATCCACTTTTTTAAAGGATTTCTGTCCCTCCGTGCCATTAACCCATGTATTCTCCCTGGCCCCTCATTACCACAGCCTCATCGAAGTCTGACATCTGTTACTGAAACTCTCATGTCGCACAGATCTGTGTATACCTATGGACAAGGTGACCGCACATTTCAGTTTGCTGGGTCAGTCCTGGCTCCAGTATGTTGTTTCAGACAGTTATTCACAGTGCCCCCTTTTTTCTCAAAAGCATCTCAGTGTGAGTAGTAAGTTACATGTTGCCCTATCTATAGAGAAGAATAAGTCTCTGTCCTCAATTTTCATAAAGAACTGTAAATATCCCCTAAGTATCCTCTAAGGTTGTTTAAAAAAGAGAATTAGAGGCCAGGTGCAGTGACTCACGCCTGTAATCCCAGCACTTTAAGAGACTGAGGTGGGCGGGTCACCTGAGGTCAGGAGTTTGAGACCAGCCTGGCCAACATGGTGAAACTCCATCTCTACAAAAATACAAAAATTAGCCGGGCATGATGGCAGATGCCTGTAATCCCAGCTACTCAGGAGGCTGTGGTGGGAAAATCACTTGAACCCAGGAGGCAGAGGTTGAAGTGAGCCTGAAATCACACCACTGCACTCCAGCCTGGGTGACACAGCAAGACTCCATCTCAAAAAAAATATATATATTAAAAAAAAAAGGAGTTAGAAAGACACTTCTCCATCATAAAAATTCTAAGCTGAGAAGACAAAAAGATCAAAGGAAGAGAGTTAAGACTTGGTGGAGCCTGCAACTCCCAAGCACTTGTAGGATACAGATTTCTGATCCTGGCTTTTAGCAGATAACAAAAACTGACTTGATTTTTGAGTGGAAGTGGTAGGAGGTGGTGAGTTACAGCCTGTTTCGTAGTTCAGCCTTTCTGGGATGTCTCCTGATGCCACACAGATGCTCCAGCTTTTGGTTCAAGAGAAATTAGAGTTAGATCCACTCCCCAGGAAAGTGAAAGCCTCAGCCTTTCTAGAACCATTGTCTGGTTTTGACTAGATCTCCAGGGCACAAAGGGGCTGCCAGTCCTGGCTATAGGAAGATGTCCTGCCTCTCCCAAGTGTCTCCAGGCTACACTGCTTGCTGGCTCTGCTCCACCTTATCCCTGGCACCTCCAGAGCCTGAGTTCTTTCCTGGGGTCCGGGCTGCTCTGCATAGACCCTTTGGGCCATTGCTGGGATGTCGGGTCTCAAACCTCTTCTCTACATCAGTGTTCCACAACATCCTTTGAGAGGCTCTGTGATAAAGTCCCTGAAAAAAATGCACTTTCAAAACCTGCCTTTTGGAGATTGACAGTGCATAATCACTTATAAAATGTTCCAGGAAGAACTACAACAAAGAAGCATGTTAAATGTTTACCTCAGTGTTCCCTGTATTTTTCACTATAGAATCCCCTCATGTTTTCTGTACGCCTAATATCCCCCAATATTATGCTTCGGGAAATTCCACTCTGGTTTCTCTCTCTTCTGTTAAGTTTGGTTAAAATAGAATCACTCTCCAGCTGCTAAGGTGGTTTCTAGGCTCTTATGAGATCAGAGGTCTCTTAACCTTTTATTCGAAGTCAGCGTTTATTGCAAAAGGCCACTGGCCTGATGCTGAACAGCATCTTTCCCTGGCATTTATCAGTGTCACGGCAGCTGTCCCCAACAGCCAGATTCCCTATATCTTCCTTTTTCCGGCATATTTGAGTTGGTGGTAGGCTAAGACCTAAGACAGAAAAATCACTCCTCCAGAGTGGAGCAAGCACTTGGGGCATGGTGATGAGAGAAGTCAGTTGTGAAAGCAAAAGGGATTTATAGAGTAGAGGCAGCCTGGGATAGGAGGTAGGGGTGGTGGGAACGATGCATGAGCCTCATGCGGTGACAAGTAAAGACTTTTGATTGTTTTTTGTTTGTTTGTTTTGGGGTTTGTTTTTATTACTTACACCCTAGTCATGTAGCTGTGTGGTGCTTTTATTCCAGAAACCAGACTTAAGCAAAAGGGCTCCAGCAACCTAAAGGAGTGGAGAGAATGTGTACCCTGAGAATGGAAATGGCCACAGCTGACTAAGCCCAGTAAAGCAAGACTTAGTCACTAGAGGCAAGATGAGAACCCAGTAAGGGAATAGAACAGACCCTGCGGCCAAGTGCTGGCCTCTGAATCATTGAGCTAGTGCTGTAGGGCTTCCTGAATCCTACTAAAATGGGACAAGGACTGACCCAGGGCCTGAGACAAGGATGGCCCTAAAGTAAAGTCACTAGTGTCATCTTTGAGAATTAAGAACTTGCAATGGCATAAAGAGACTGTGATGTTAAAGCCTGCACTTCTTTCTAGAAAAGCTAACAAAATCTTATTATCCCTCTGAGATACAGACTCTCAGTTCATCCTCAATACTAAGAAGGGGTCACCCTTCATTCTATAAGGGGATATTAGTTATCTGTTGCCACAATAATGCCGCATAAGAGACAGCCACTGAATCTCAGTGGCATTCTGCAACAAGCATCTATTTCGCTCATGCATGTGGGGTCAGCTGGGGTCAGCTAGGCAGCTCTGCTGATCTTGGCAGGGCTTGCTGTGGGGCTGGGGCTGGGGCTGGGGCTGGCTGGCTGTCAGCCGGTAAAGGCTGGCCTTGGCTGGGACACCTGGACAACGAGATCTGTTTTGTTCAGAGCTCCTTGGGGTCTAGGCTCAAAAGTGCCACACTGTTTCTTCTGCAACAGTCTGTTGACTAAAGTAAGTCACACAGTGAAACCCAGATCAAAATGAAACCCAGATCACCAATTAAATAGGTGAAAAAGACTCCACCTATTTAATGAAAGAAACTAAAAACTTATGTGGTGAAAAGTGTAGCTATGGAGAGAGGTGAAGAATCAGGGCTGTTAATGAATCACATTATCACAGGGGTAACATGCCCAGTACCCCTTTGCTAATTCTGACACCTATTTTTAAAACTTAATCAGAGCCTTCCTTCTGTAGCTAGAGGTAAAGTGAATGAGTGACTACTTGGGCAACTCTATTTACTTATGTGGCATAAAGAATGCAGAGCTAGGTTTAACCAGGGTGACTATGAAATAGTTTAGGAGAGACATTCTGCCAGGTGGGCGTTCTCGCTAGTCTTTCAGACCCATCTGGGGAACCAGAGGGAAAAGGCTGGTGCTTCTCCAGCACATACCCAATAAATGTCATCTACCATCTGAGAAGCACAGTCATGCATGCACTTCATTTTAGCATCAAAATTCTATGAGGATGCCAGAGCCCTGAGAGAGATCTCCATTTCCTCCTGAGGCTGTGAGAGCTAAGGCACCTCCCAGGTTCACTCTGCAGAAAAGGCAGTGCCCAGACAGGACCTGCTCCCCTGCCCTTCACCCTTGGCTACCTCTGTTGCCCGGCCCCAGCTGCCTCTGGCAGCCTGCAGATACTGGTCCCTGAAGCATCCTTGGCCACCCCATTCTAAGGGCAGCATGTGGACACTAGAGAACCCAGCCAAGCCATTTTCAGGAGGCAATGCCTCCTTTTTCTCTGACAGTTTGGACAGCAGATTCTCACACAGCCAGGCCACAGCTGGAATTCCACTGGCTGAGATAACAGCTTTAGGAGCTGGACAAATGTGTGATGGAAGACCTCGCTTGTCTTCAGGAGGCACTTATTTTGTTCCTACTTGTTTTTCTGCCAGCTCCTCGGGCAATTGTTATGACTACTTTGGTGCATTTCCAAGAGATGCTAGTAACACTCCAAAGGCAAGAAACCAGAAAGGAAGTGAAATGCAATAATGCAGCAGTTGCTGTGATAGAGGACACAGGGAGATGCCATTCAGCACCCTGCTCCAGCTGCAGAAACTGTGACACATCACCACTTATACCCCAGGAGGAGAAAGCCCAAGAATGAGAAAATCTGGGCAGCAAATAAAAATGTCACCACACTGTCTCAATGGCCTGTAAAGAGGGGCAGAGTGAGGAAGTCAGGCTGAGAGAATCACTGGGGAAGGCTTGCAATAGTGACAGCCTGCTCTTGCCACCCACAGATGTTTCTCTCCAAACTGTTTTGAGGCATAACGACATACACGGGGCCCCTTGCTAATAAACAGATTGAGCACTAGAACATTGATTTCCTAAACCTCCTCTCTATTCATATGGTAACTTACTAAATAGGAAAACAAACATGTTCCTTGAAGAAGAATGTCTGGACTTTTCCATCACACATTCATATATATCGTCATTTAAATCTACTGGGTTTTCAGTGCTTGCAACGGATGGCACACATTCTCATTTCAGCAGGTCTGTTGAGAATCAAATGTAAATTCCCAGTGGGAATTTGAAAATAAAATTATCTGTCAAAATATGTGGCTTGCGATACATCAATGAAAACAATACTCACAGCCATAGAGAAGACAAAAAAGCCATAGGTACAGTGATAGTCACAAAAGGAGCCAGTGTTACCCCAAGACAACCCAGTAGAGCTGGAATCCAGGTCTCCAGACAAACTGGGAAAGGCTTATTGTAGAGGAGTGCTGTTCCATAGAACTTTCTGTGATCGTGGAAAAATTCAATATCTGTGCTGCCCAGTATGGTAGCCACTAGCCACATGCGGCCATTGAGCACCTGAAATGCAACCAGGGCAGCTAAGGACCTGAATTGTTACCTTTTTAAAATGTTCAATTAATTGAAATTTTAATAGCTGCATGCAGCTAGTGGCTACCGCATTGGACTGCACCACTCTAGTGTCTTGCTTTTTCTACTAAATTGCATTTTGTTCTGTTGTGTTCACCAGTATTTCTGATGTCAACTTTAGCTACTTGGAGTGTTTGGCGGTGTTCCCATCCCCTGTGGCAGGGGCTCAGGAATGCAAGGTTGATGGAATGGTCCTCACTTTGGAGGCAGCCAGCCTGAGGGGACAAGCCTCAACATGGGAAAATTTGGGATCAAGTATGTGGGTGCCTAAAGGTCAAGGTATTTGGACTCCTGGTACAGATGTAAGAGAAAAGCTGAAAAGGAAGACTTCTTGATTTTTGGAGCCTGCCTTCTTTGGAATGTGTCCTTTACAGACAGAAAAATAAGCTGGCCTTTTGAAGAAAGAGGAAGGAGGCATTAAATGTGTTATCCTTACAGCCAGATGAGAGGAAAGAGAAATGAAGAGTGACTAGAAATTAGAGATGCTAGGCAAGGCATTTCAAAACCAAAACAGGAGGGGTCAGAAAAGCTGTTCTCTCCCATGACTTTCTACTCTGAGAGGAGTGACCCCCCAGCTTCAAGATGATTCTTGTGCAAATATGCTCAGTGTGTTTTTCATTAAGTATCAAAACAAAACAATGGAATTGTGGGAAAAACTTGGCCACTGCATGAGGTGAATTCTAGGGTTTGTGGGTCTATGTATTCAAGGGGGCCAGAAGCACCATGTGAAGACCCTGTTGGATGGGAGGTCTGCAAAGACAATTCCTGTCACTTAATAAATACTCCATGAGGGGGGCATGTGTAGGAATGGGGACTGGGGAAAGAGAGCTGATGCACACCGGTGAAACAAGGACTCTAGGATGGGTCACCCACATTGTGATGGCATCCAGAGGACCCTAATCAATATCCTGTTTGAGGATGCATTTGTGTGACAGCTGATGGCCTGAGGGGGCATAAACCCTATGATGATGACTAGCGAACAGGGCTTGAGGGAGAAACACGGGTAGAACTGGTATGTCTTGGGTCCTTATTCTTTCCCTCAGAACATTGCTGATTTCAACATGGCCCCAAGAAACACCCCAAAACACGTCCTGTCCATCTCAACCCAGTCACAAACTTCCTTAAGCAGTTTAGTCTCATGTCTAAACACACCAATATTTTATTTCTTAATAACTCCCTGAGTTTAGATTATGACTGAGCTCTCCTTCCAAGTCAGTGAAGAGAGGAGTTGACAACATTGGGTCTCCATTTGGGAAAAGAGAGACAACGTGTCGGGTTTCTACCTTTTCTCACAGTGAGAGTTTAGCCAACTGCAAAGTTAGAACAGTCCACACAAGGCCACCCTCACTTCTGACAGCAACTGTAAGTGTGGGTGGTTCCCCAAACAACCCTCAGTTTCAATAATTCACTAGAAGGACTCACAGAACTCTGTTATACTCATGATTATGGTTTATTATAGGGGGAGGAAAGAGATTAAAATTAGCCAAGGGCAGGAGCTCATTGGGTGGAATCCAGGGACGTACTAAATGTGGAGCTTCCATTGTCCTCTCCCTGTGGAGCCAGGATGCATTACTGTTCCAGTATTGGTGCATGACAGTATGCAGAGTATTACCAGCTAGGGAAGCTCACTCAAGCCTTGAGTTTAGAGTTTTTATTGGGGCTCCATTACATAGTGATGGTTGACTGATTGATTGCCCATGTGTTTGAGTTCAGTCTCCATGTCAATTGATACCTCATGACCCTAAGCTGCTATCCTAAATCACATGGCCAGTCCCTACTTTAAGACATGGCCAGCTCGACCATAAGTTGTACTATTAGACTACCCACTGTGACCCAAGGCTTCCAGGCAAACCAAGACACTTCTTTCAGGAATATCATGTCAAGGCCTGAGGGCATAACTCCCAGAAGCCAACATCAAAGGCTAGATGTCTTTTGGGGCAAGGTTAAATTCTTTACTACATACTCATAACAAGAAACTCAAGGTGGCTTGAAGACCTAACTATGAAAAAAATTAAAGCTCCATAATAAAATATGATGAAAGTTTTACAATCCTGGGGTGTAGATGTTATCTAAACATACGATTAAGCCTATAAACCATATAGGAGAAGATTGAATACAAAAAATATAAAACTTTTAAACTGAAAAGATACCACGAACAAAATGAAAAGATAATCAAAATTGGAGAATATATTCACATCATATTGAAGTCAACACATGGACATGAAAAGACAAATGGTGCATTAGAAAAGTGGACATAATCTATTAGGAACAGAAAAAAATTAAAAAAAAAATATACACTGTTGATGAGCATGTAGGTCAGTATAACCTTTTGGATCATTAAGAATTTTGGGTCATTAAACTTTTGGGTCATTTAGAGTCATTAAAATGTAAAATTAAAAATGACATTTTACCTCTAGGAATATGGTTTATAGAAATTGTGTACAAGCTCAGAAACGTATGTATGTGTGTCTGTGCGGCATTGTTTGCAATAAAGAGAGACAGGAAACACTCTAAATCTCCAGCCCATATAAAAAATGTTATGCTACACAAATAATGAGAGAAAACTCTACAAACTGATGTGAAAAGAAGTCCATAGGCATTCATTGAATACATAAGTTACAAAAGAATATTTATGGCCTGATTTTGGTTTTGTATATAAAAAGGATGTAAATATATATATAATCTATTCATGTATAATGATGAATACACACATATGTGTTACATCTACACACAGGAAAAACAAAGACTTTTAAGGTGTTACTCCAAGGTAGAAATGGAAGGATTAGCTTTCCTGTTTTATACTATGATTTCATTTGAATTTGTTCCAGCAAGCACATGTGCGTGTGTGAATTTTGCAACCGTGTACACACGTGTATGAACAGTGGTTTTGCAGTGTGTCACCTTGGCTGCACTGGAGCTGCTTCTTACAATCCCCTTCTCTTTAGGATTCTAAGGTAGAGTTGCTGAGAAAGAAGTTTGCAGGAGACATGGAGGGCAGAAGTAAATCAACAGCCTTTATTGTCCGATAGCCGTTGTGGCCAGATCTAGTGACAAAGACAGAGAAAAAGGTGCTGGTGGATTCTACCTCATCCTAATTTCTCCCCTACTCAGCAACCAGGTCTTCTCAGCTCTGGCCCTGCTGACCAACAGCTGCCTTCCCCCTAATGTGGGGCTGCAATCTCACAGCAGCGGTGGCTATGAGCAGCCCTCCACAGCCTCTCCCTTCCCCTTTGCAACCCCACGCTGGCAGCTGGTGCATCTGGCCACCTCCCCACCTCCCCTGCAGACTCCAACTTGTCCTCCCATGCCAGTGCTTCAGAAGGGCTAGAGAGAGAATTTCCTCTGACCTCCCAACTCCCCTTTTTGGGCCTTTATTTTCCAAGCCCCTCCCACATTTGCGAAGGTTTAATGTCCATGTAAGTAGTCTCTCATTTCATAATAGTCATGGTGGTTCTGCTTTCCAATTGGATCTTGACGGATACATGTCCACATATTTTAGATATATATATATAAAATATATATATCTCTCTAAAATATATATATTTTAATATAAAAATATATAAATCTAAAATATATATATAAAATAAAACATATATATATAAAATATATATATGTGTGTGTGGGTGTCTGTGTGTGTGTGATGTATGATGTGAGGAAAGTTTTCTAATGGGAAAGCTGAGTTTCACTTTTCCCCTTTGAGACTCTCATGCCATCAGCCCTCAGGCCTAGGATGCACCCCTGTCACACTCTGGCCCACTTGGGAGCAAAACTCCCCTTCATCTTCGTCATCTCAGCATAGCTTAGATAGCCAGAGACATGAAAAAATGCTAAACCCTAAGGGAAATCAGCAGAGTCCTCACAATATCAAAACAGGACAATTTCCAGAGCAGGCTGGGACTCCTCCCGAGCTAACTTGATTTGGGGGATTCTTAGATTCCATCACACATCTTAGATGTGGATGTCACCCTTAAATTCTTTCCCTAAAAGTCCCTTCTGTAGACTTTTAGATCCAGTGAATCCCAGTGGCAATGGGAATAAAAGTGAGGAAGAGGGAACAAGTATTTCAGCATTGCCTGCCATGTATTGGGTACTTAAACTGCAAACATCCTCTTACTTTTTTTTTAATTATACTTTAAGTTCTAGGGTACATGTGCACAGCGTGCAGGTTTGTTACATATATGTACATGTGCCGTGTTGGTTTGCTGCACCCATTAAGTCATCATTTACATTAGATATTTCTCCTAATGCTATCCCTCCCCACTCCCCCCACCCCACGACAGGCCCGGTGTGTGATGTTCCCCTTCCTCTGTCCAAGTGTTCTCATTGTTCAATTCCCACCTATGAGTGAGAACATGCAATGTTTGGTTTTCTGTCCTTGCGATAGTTTGCTCAGAATGATGGTTTCCAGCTTCATCCGTGTCGCTACAAAGGACATGAACTCATCCTTTTTATGGCTACATAGTATTCCATGGTGTATATGTGCCACATTTTCTTAATCCAGTCTATCACTGATGGACATTTGGGTTGGTTCCAAGTCTTTCCCATCGTGATTGGTGCCGCAGTAAACATACGTGTGCATGTGTCTATACAGTAGCATGATTTATAATCCTTTGAGTATATACCCAGTAATGGGATCGCTGGGTCAAATGGTATTTCTAGTTCTAGATCCTTGAGGAATCACCATACTGTCTTCCATAATGGTTGAACTAGTTTACAGTCCCACCAACAGTGTAAAAGCGTTCCTATTTCTTCACATCCTCTCCAGCACCTGTTGTTTCCTGACTTTTTAATGATCACCATTCTAACTGGTGTGAGATGGTACCTCATTGTGGTTTTGATTTGCATTTCTCTAATGACCAGTGATGATGAGCATTTTTTCATGTGTCTGTTGGTTGCATAAATGTCTTCTTTTGAAAAGTGTCTGTTCATATCCTTTGCCCACTTTTCAATGGGGTTGTTTGATTTTTTTCTTGTAAATTTGTTGAAGTTCTTTGTAGATTCTGGATATTAGCCCTTTGTCAGATGGATAGATTGCAAAAATTTTCTCCCATTCTGTAGGTTGCCTGTTCACTCTGATGGTAGTTTCTTTTGCTGTGCAGAAGCTCTTTAGTTTAATTAGATCCCATTTGTCAATTTTGACTTTCATTGCCATTGCTTTTGGTGTTTTAGTCATGAAGTCTTTGCCCATGCCTATGTCCTGAATGGTAGTGCCTAGGTTTTCTTCTAGGGTTTTTATGGTTTTAGGTCTAACATTTAAGTCTTTTATCTATCTTGAATTAATTTTCGTATAAGGTGTAAGGAAGGGATCCAGTTTCAGCTTTCTACATATGGCTAGCCAGTTTTCCCAGCACCATTTATTAAATAGGGAATCCTTTCCCCATTTCTTGTTTTTGTCAGGTTTGTCAAAGATCAGATGGGGTTGTAGATGTGTGGTGTTGTTTCTGAGGCCTCTATTCTGTTCCATTGGTCTATCTCTCTGTTTTGGTACCAGTACCATGCTGTTTTGGTTACTGTAGCCTTGTAGTATAGTTCGAAGTCAGGTAGCGTGATGCCTCCAGCTTTGTTCTTTGGGCTTAGGATTGTCTTGGCAATGCAGGCTCTTTTTTGGTTCCAAATGAACTTTGAAGTAATTTTTTCCAATTCTATGAAGAAAGTCATTGGTAGCTTGATGGGGATGGCATTGAATCTATAAATTACCTTGGGCAGTATGGCCATTTTCACAATATTGATTCTTCCTATTCATGAGCATGGAATGTTCTTACATTTGTTTGTGTCCTCTTTTAGTTTGTTGAGCAGTGGTTTGTAGTTCTCCTTGAAGAGGTCCTTCACATTCCTTGTAGGTTGGATTCCTAGGTATTTTATTCTCTTTGAATCAATTGTGAATGGGAGTTCACTCATGATTTGGCTCTCTGTTTGTCTGTTATTGTTGTATAAGAATGGTTGTGATTTTTGTACATTGATTTTGTATCCTGAGACTTTGCTGAAGTTGCTTATCAGCTTAAGGAGATTTTGGGCTGAGACGATGGGGTTTTCTAAATATACAATCATTTCATCTGCAAACAGGGACAATTTGACTTCCTCTTTTCCTAACTGAATACCCTTTATTTCTTTATCTTGCTTGATTGCCCTTGCCAGAACTTCCAACACTATGTTGAATAGGAGTGGTGAGAGAGGGCATCCCTGTCTTATGCCAGTTTTCAAAGGGAATGCTTCCAGTTTTTGCCCATTCAGTATGATACTGGCTGTCGGTTTTTCATAAATAGCTCTTATTATTTTGAGATACATTCCATCAATACCTAGTTTATTGAGAGTTTTTAGCATGAAGGGCTGTTGAATTTTGCTGAAGGCCTTTTCTGCATCTATTGAGATAATCATGTGGTTTTTGTCTTTAGTTCTGTTTATGTGATGGATTATGTTTATTGATTTGCATATGTTGAAAGAGATTTGCATCCCAAGGATGAAGCCAAGTTGATCTTGGTGGAAACTTTTTGATGTGTTGCTGGATTTGGTTTGCCAGTATTTTATTGAGGATTTTCGCATCGATATTCATCAGGGATATTGGTCTAAAATTCTCTTTTTTTGTTGTGTCTCTGCCAGGCTTTGGTATCAGGATGATGCTGGCCTCATAAAATGAGTTAGAGAGGATTCCCTCTTTTTCTAGTGATTGGAATAGTTTCAGAAGGAATGGTAGCAACTCCTCTTTGTACCTCTGGTAGAATTCGGCTGTGAATCTCTCTGGTCCTGAACTTTTTTTGGTTGGTAGGCTATTAATTATTGCCTCAATTTCAGAGCCTGTTATTGGTCTATTCAGCAATTCAACTTCTTCCTGGTTTAGTCTTGGGAGGGTGTATGTCTAGGAATTTATCCATTTCTTCTAGATTTTCTAGTTTATTTACGTAGAGGTGTTTATAGTATTCTCTGATGGTAGTTTGTATTTCTGTGGGATCGGTGGTGATATCCGCTTTATCATTTTTTGTTGCGTGTATTTGATTCTTCTCTCTTTTCTTCTTTATTAGTCTTGCTAGAGGTCTATCAATTTTGTTGATCTTTTCAAAAAACCAGCTCCTGGATTCACTGATTTTTGAAGGGTTTTTTATGTCTCTATCTCCTTCAGTTCTGCTTTGATCTTAGTTATTTCTTGCCTTCTGCTAGCTTTTGAATGTGTTTGCCCTTGCTTCTCTAGTTCTTTTAATTATGATGTTAGGGTGTCAATTTTAGATCTTTCCTGCTTTCTCTTATGGGCATTTAGTGCTATAAATTTTCCTCTACACGCTGCTTTAAATGTGTCCCAGAGATTCTGGTACGTTGTGTTTTTGTTCTCATTGGTTTCAAAAAACATCTTTATTTCTGTCTTCATTTTGTTATTTACCCAGTAGTCATTCAGGAGCAGGCTGTTCAGTTTCCAAGTAGTTCTGCGGTTTTGAGTGAGTTTCTTAATCCTGAGTTCTAATTTGATTGCACAGTGGTCTGAGAGACAGTTTGTTGTGATTTCTCTTCTTTCACATTGGCTGAGGAGTGCTTTACTTCCAACTATCTGGTCAATTTTGGAATAAGTGCAATGTGTTGCTGAGAAGATTGTATATTCTGTTGAATTGGGGTGGAGAGTTCTGTAGATGTCTATTGGGTCCACTTGGTGCAGAGCTGAGTTCAAGTCCTGAATATCCTTGTTAACCTTCTGTCTTGTTGATCTATCTAATATTGACAGTGGGGTGTTAAAGTCTCCCATTATTATTGTGTGGGAGTCTAAGTCTCTTTTTAGGTCTCTCAGGACTTGCTTTATGAATCTGGGTGCTCCTGTATTGGGTGCATATATATTTAGGATAGTTAGCTCTTCTTTTTGAATTGATCCCTTTCCCATTATGTAATGGCCTTCTTTGTCTCTTTTGATCTTTGTTGGTTTAAAGTCTGTTTTATCGGAGACTAGGATTGCAACCCCTGCTTTTTTTTTTTTTTTTGCTTTCCATTTGCTTGGTAGATCTTCTGCCATCCCTTTATTTTGAGCCTATGTGTGTCTCTGTACGTGAGATGGGTCTCCTGAACACACCACACTGATGGGTCTTGACTCTTTATCCAATTTGCCAGTCTGTGTCTTGTAATTGGGGCACTTAGCCCATTTACATTTAAGGTTCATATTGTTAAGTGTGAATTTGATCCTGTCATTATGATGTTAGCTGGTTATTTTGCCCGTTAGTTGATGCAGTTTCTTCCTAGCATCGATGATCTTTACAGTTTGGCATGTTTTTGCAGTGGCTGGTATCAGTTGTTCCTTTCCATGTTTAGAGCTTCCTTCAGGAGCTCTTGTAAGGCAGGCCTGGTGGTGACAAAATCTCTCAGCATTTGCTTGTCTGTAAAGGATTTTATTTCTCCTTCACTTATGAAGCTTAGTTTGGCTGGATATGAAATTCTGGGTTGAAAATCCTTTTCTTTAAGAATGTTGAATATTGGCTCCCACTCTCTTCTGTCTTGTAGGGTTTCTGTAGAGAGATCTGCTGTTAGTCTGATGGGCTTCCCTTTGTGGGTAACCTGACTTTTCTTTCTGGCTGCTCTTAGCATTTTTTCCTTCATTTTGACCTTGGTGAATCTGACAATTATGTGGCTTGAGGTTGCTCTTCTCTAGGAGTGTCTTTGTGGTGTTCTGTGTCTTTCCTGAATTTGAATGTTGGCCTGCCTCACTAGGTTGGGGAACTTCTCCTGGATAATATCCTGAAGAGTGTTTCCAGCTTGGTTCCATTCTCCCCATCACTTTCATGTACACCAATCAAACTTAGATTTGGTCTTTTCACATAGTCCCATATTTCTTGGAGGCTTTGTTCATTTCTTTTTACTCTTTTTCCTCTATACTTCTCTTCTTGCTTCATTTCATTAATTTGATCTTCAATCACTGATACCCTTTCTTCCACTTGATTGAATCGCCTACTGAAGCTTGTGCATGCGTCACGTAGTTTGTGCCATGGTTTTCAGCTCCATCAGGTCATTTAAGGTCTTCTATACACTGTTTATTCTAGTTAGCCATTCGTCTAATCTTTTTTCAAGTTTTTAGCTTCCTTGCAATGGGTTCAAACAACCTCCTTTAGCTCAGAGAAGTTTGTTATTACTGACTTTCTGAAGCCTACTTCTGTCAACTCGTCAAAGTCATTCTCCATCCTCCTTTGTTTCATTGCTGGCGAGGAGCTGTGATCCTTTGGAGGAGAAGGGACACTCTGGTTTTTAGAATTTTCAGGTTTTCTGCTCTGGTTTCTCCCCATCTTTGTGGTTTTATCTACCTTTGGTCTTTGATGATGGTGACCTACAGAAGGGGTTTTGGTGTGGATGTCTTTTTTGTTGATGTTGATGCTATTTCTTTCTGTTTGTTAGTTTTCCTTCTAACAGTTAGATCCCTCAGCTGCAGGTCTGTTAGCGTTTGCTGGAGGTCCACTTCAGACCCTGTTTGCCTGGGTATCACCAGCAGAGGCTGTAGAACAGCAAATATTGCAGAACAGCAAATATTGCTGCCTGATCCTTCCTCTGGAAGCTTCATCTCAGAGGGGCACGGGGCTGTATGAGTTGTCAGTCAGCCCCTCCTGGGAGGTGTCTCCACATTAGGCTATACAGGGATCAGGGACCCACTTGAGGAGGCAGTCTGTCCATTCTCAGAGCTCAAACACTGTGCTGGGAGAACCACTGCTCTCTTCAGAGCTGTCAGACAGGGATGTTTCAGTCTGTAGAAGTTTGCTGCCTTTTGTTCAGCTATGCCCTGCCCGGAGAGGTGGAGTCTAGAGGCAGGCAGGCCTCGTTGAGCTGTGGTGGGCTCCACCTAGTTCGAGCTTCCCGGCCACTTTGTTTACCTATTCAAGCCTCAGCAATGGCGGATGCCCCTCCCCCAGCCAGGCTTGGCACCTTGCAGTTCGATCTCGGACTAGCAGTGATCAAGGCTCCGTGGACATGGGACCCTCTGAGCCAGGCATGGGATATAATCTCCTGGTGTGCCATTTTGGTAAGACCATTGGAAAAGCGCAATGTTTAGGTGGCAGTGTCCTGATTTTCCTGGTACAGTCTGTCACAGTTTTCCTTGGCTAGGAAAGGGAAATCCCCCAACCCCTTGCGCTTCCCAGGTGAGGCGACGCCCCGCCCTGCTTTGTCTCGCCCTCTGTGGGCTGCACCCACTTTCCAACCAGTCCCAGTGAGATGAATCAGGTACCTCAGCTGGAAACGCAGAAATCACCCATCTTCTGCATCCATCACAGTGGGAGCTGCAGACGGGAGCTGTTCCTATTTGGGCATCTTGGAACAGACCCCCTCAAACATCCTCTTACTTAATCCTCACAACATCTTGTGTTCTAAGAAGAGAAAATGGAAGCTCAGAGATGTTACACAAATCTCCCAAAGTCACACAGCTGACCACTGAGTAGCAAGACCAGGACTCAAAGTAGTTAAGTTTGAATATTAGACATGGCTTGTACACATGATCTGGTCTTTGAGATGGATCCACTTCAGCTGCCTCCTGAATTTGTCAGCTACTCTTGCACAAACCAACAAGCTCAAGATCTTCACGGCTCACAGCAACAAGCACTTATTTCTTTCTCATAGGTGTGTGGGTTGGCTATAGATTGGCTGTGGGTTGCCTGGGCCCAGTTGAGTCTAGGTGGCCTCAGGCTTGAGGTCTGGTCAAGGTCTGTTGTGTGTCTTCATTCTGGGGCTGGGACTGAAGGAGCAGTGACTACTCGGCCATGTTCTTCTCATGGTGGATGGTACGTGCTTAAGACGGCGAGTGGGAACTTTCCATGTTCTTAAAGCCCAAGCTCAGAACTGGCACACTGCCCCTTCTACCCATGTCTCTTTGGTCCATAGCAAATTGGCCTATAGTCAAGGAGGGGCAGAGAAGTACCCTCTTTCCACAGTGGGAAGGAAAGGGAATGAATATTTGTCAACATTCTTCCCAAAAGTCCTGACTCCAAATTTCACTTTATCTTCTGAAACAACATCCTTGCATTCAAGGAATGAGGGCTTCCCTTCTAGCAGCTTCCTGTTCAACCAACTACAGTGTAACTTGGTTTTAGATAACAAAATATGAGTATAACAAAATGACTATTGTATTCATTATCTGTTGTTGGTAATAAACCACCCCCAAACTTAGTGTCTTCGAATGACAACAATCATTTATTTTGCTCATGAATCTGTAATTTGGACAGGGCGCAGTTGGCATAGCTTATCTGCTCAGGTATCAGTTGGAGAGGTGGGAGTGACTCACCCTCTGAGGCTGTAATCTCCCAAAGACTCACTGCACTCACTCACATGTCTGGTAGTTGATATTAGCTGTCAGCTGGGACCTCATCTGTCAGTCAGAACACAACGTGCATTCTCTCCATGGGGCTTTGTTGGTTTCCTCAGTCTGATGGCTAGGTTTCAAGTGTAAGAGTCCTTACAGAACAAGGCGGAAGTGCATGCAATTTTTATGATCTACCTTTGAGAGTCACATAACTTCACTTCTGCCATACTGTGCTGCATGGGTAGTCACAAAAGTCCACTCAGGTTCAAGAGAAGGGAATAGGGATTCCCACCACTTCATGGATGGAGTATCAGTGGTACATCGTGAGAAGTAGGTGTGGGATAGGATGCGTTATGGTAGCCATCTTTAGAAAATATATATGCCACAACCATATAATGGCAACTCATGCCATCTGATGGGGGAGGGCATTTTTCTTCAACAGACAAAAGTTACTAAAATAATAGTCAATCTTTCAACTCCTTTAATGGGAACTGAAAATCCCTCCTTCACATTTTGCAGCCGTACTCCCACTGTGTGGCACTACTGATCATGACTGACTTGGACCAAGCCAGTCCTAGGTAAGCCTGGGAGTAAGTTAGGGTAGAAGGACAAAGTTTGCATCCATGGACTGAGGGATTTGTGTGGCATTAAACGTTAGCAAGACCTAGCAAGTCACAGGCATTTCTCAATGGGAATTTTTGGAGAATTATATTCAAAACTCCCAATAATTGTCTTGGCGTTAGTGTGAAGAAAGAAAACTAATATTTGTGATGCCCATGTGCCAGGCACTTTATGACATGCTTTCCATTTAACCCTTTGTTTAGCCCTTTCCGGTTGATATGACTCCAGGTAGATCTCATTATCCCCATTTGTGGATGAGAGAGTCAAAGACAGAAGGGTTCGGTTACCTTCTCAAGACCACACATCTAATAAGTGATAGAGCTAGGAATTATCTCAAAGAAGGTAAAATTGGGACAAACCCTTTGATAGTCTCTGATTTTAAAAAAAAAGCCACTGTCACAACAGAGGAGAAAAACATGTCAATCTCACACGTAAGCAGATGGTGGGGATGCAAGTTAATGACAGTGAGAGGGGAACTGGTCACCTGCAGACAGAGCTTTTGAAGAATTCTGCTCCAATCTAACAGCTTGTCAAGTGACTAGTGACCTAGGACAGTTGGTCACCACAAAATCAAGTGTCACAGCAGGGCTACATCAACCTGCCTGCAAAGCCTTCTAAGATTCTGCTCATGTTTGGAGGTGAGAAGAGGGAAACCCCAAGAGAAATCCCCACAGCAATGATGAGCTAAATCCATCTCCTCATCTCAATTCCAAGATCTTTCAGAAGATGACAGAGGGGAGTTTTAAGAAATCCTTATGCCCGGGTGACACCGTAGATCAATTAAACCTGAATCCCTGGAGTGAGACCCAGGAATCAGTAATTTTTAAAAGTCTCTAGGTGATTCTAATTGCAGCCAAGTTTAAGTACTATTGCTCTACTTACAGTTAATGCTTATGGGAGCCCAGAGGAGCCTGTGTGTGGCACACAATGCAAGAAAACAACACCATTTCCTACTCCATAGTTCTGCATGTTTTCCCCTTCTCTGGGTTTTTAGTACTCCCAATAAACAGGAAGACCCTCCCTCTACACCCTTTTCCCTGCTGTCTTTTTTTCATAGCACATATAGCCCCTGCTAGGATACTCTCTACTTATTTGTCTACCTGTTTATTATCTGTCATCTCCACTAGAGTGTTAGGTCCATGGGCCAGCGGACCACATTGCACAGCTCCAGAAGTTGCCATTTATATATGATACAAGATGAGTGATGCCCCCTGGAGTTATGTGATGTATTAGCCCTTCATGGGGGCGGACATTTTGTCTCGTTCACTGTTGTTTCCCAAAGTTCTGGAACAGTACCTAAAATATAAGAAATGTTCACCAAATATTTTTTGAATGAATGAAGAAATGAATGAATATAGAAAAGTAATAAGGATTCTCCTATGGAAAGACCTGGTCTCCCTCCAGCCTAAAAGCTTGACTCTGATGCTCATCATCCTCTTCTTCATCCTCATCACCATCATCATTATCATCGTCATCATCATCATCTGTTATTAAGTCACCACATAAAATTTCCTTTGAAGGCAGGTTTCCATGACTAAAAATAAAAGCGTGAAAACTAATCCCCTGTCGAGATGAACTAATGTTCACCTTGCCCCAGACTCTGCCCATCCACCACCTCAAATGGCTTTGGAGCCAGACAGACTTGAGTTTAGAATCTGCCTTCATCACTTACTAGCAATAGGACCCAGGGCAAATATTTATCCCTAAATGGTTATAACAGTGAATTAATAGACTATTATAGATTAAAAGAGTCCATATTTAAAGTGCCAGTGACAAATAAATATATGAAAACATGCCCAATTTCACTAGCATCCAGGGAAATGCAAATTAAAACAATTTTTACTCATCAGATTGGCCAAAGTGAAATAATATATTAGTAAGAGAATGCTAGCTGCTATTAACAGATAAACCTCAAAAATCTCAGCAACTTAATACAATAGACTTAATTTTCTCTACAGCTAAAGACCAATCAGCAGTGACAGGGAGAGATGCTCAGTTCCACGACGACATTCACAGGCTCAGACTGATTCCCTCCGGTGGCTCTGTTTACCCCCATGGGCCTTGGAGCTTTTCACTAGATCCTCTGCCCCCCTTACAAGAAAGGGATTGCACCAGAGGTTTGTACAGGCCAGCTTATTACTTCTGCCCAATTTGCTTTGGGCAGACCAGTGACATGTCCTTACCTAAAGGCAAGAGAGGCTGGGAAATGCAGTCTTAACTGGGTGGCTGCCTCTTAGCAACAACTCTAGACTATAGAACAAGAGCAGGACTCTTTAGCAGACAACTGGTTACGTCTGCCACACATAACATCAATGTCATGAAGATGTGGGTAAGTGGGTTCTCTTACATGCCACTGACAGAAAAGTGAACTGGTTATAGGCTCTATGGAGGACCCAAGGCAGTGACTTTTAAAATTTAAAACATGGTTGTTGTGTGTTCCAGCAACTTAGCTTCTTGGTAGCAATCCAAGAAGCCCTAGCAAATGGGCTGAAAAAGGCATACTAGAATGTTTATTACAACACTGTTGCAATCATGAATACAAACAAAATGTCTATCAACAAGGGAAAGTCCAAATGAACCATGTCTATCCCTACTATGGAATACTATGCACCAGTGTGAATAAGATAGATCTATACCTATTTGCACAGAAAGTATCTAAAGTCACTTTGTTGAGTGAATACAATTTTCAAAATAATACAGTATGATAGTGTTTATATAAAAATAGCTATACAATACTACATATTTTCGATATGGTTGTAAATTTAGTAATGAATAGGAAAAATGTCTGGAGGCACATGAACCAAAAAGAAATAACTATTCTAGAGAAAGATAGGGAGGAGGAGAGGGATGGAGGGAGGAAGAAGAGTTTGACAGTCACAGAAATATGAAGATCTTACGGCCGAACAAGTGCAGACCCACACGCTTATAAAAAGATGATGCATTAATTCCACTCCTAGGTATATACCCAAAGGAACTGAAAATAGAGACTCAAACAAGTATTTGTATGTACATGTTTGAGGCAGCATTATTCACAATAGCCAAAAGGTGGAAACAACCCAAGTGTCATTAACAGATGAATGTATAAACAAAGTGTAGTATGTACTTACAATGGAATATTATTCAGCCATAAAAAGGAGTGAAGTTTTTACACCTACTACAAAATGAATGGACGAACCTTGAAAACATTGTGCTAAATGAAATAAGCCAGGTAGACACAAAAGAAAATATTGTATTATTCTACTTAGTTGAAATATCTAGAATAGGTTTATCAAGATGGAACTTTATAAAGATGGAAATAAGATTAGAAATTACTAGGGGCTGGGGGCAGGGGAATAGGAAATTACTGCTTCATGGGTACAGAGTCTCTGTTTGGGGTGATGAAAAATTTTTGGAAATAATGGTGGTCATATCTACATGTAACATTGTAGGTATGATTAATGCCACTAAATTGAATGCTTAAAAATGGTTAAAATAGCAAATTTTATGTGATAAATATCTTACTAAAATAATAAAATGAAGAAAAATAATCAACTGATCTACAGTTGAACTTCAGAATATATATATGATTCAATATACTCTCAACTTGCTTTCAGAGAGAATCAAATAGGTTCTTCCTGAGTCGAGAGAAGGGGAATGAAGATTATAGGGGTCCTTGCTGGAAACCAGATTTTTCTCTCTTCTGCCCCAACACATGGCTTCCAACATTTAGGTGTCTGACTTTGCTGTAGACTATTTTAAAATGACAGACTTGTGTAAGGAAATGAAAGAATGCAATTAAATCTGATGACGAGTGTGCTATTTAAATCTCCTTAATAGGAAATCTTCTGAATTTAGTCATGTACTATGAGGAAATGATAATAGAAGTAGAAAATGCAAGGTATGCTGTAGGAAGTTTGACTTTGAATCAGATGGAGGGAGACTAGCTCTTCCTCCTTGGACTAATTGCTGTATTGATGCAATTCTCCATAGCGCCATGTGTGTTTTGAGGGGGTGGAGGGAGGGCGGTTGAATGATTTATGTGTTTAATTTCCCTCGATGCTTAGAAGGCTGCTGCCCTGCACTCCGAACAGGGAAATTGATTAAAATAACGATTGTGGAGAGCACAACCCCTTGCAATCAGTAACAGGGAGCTGTTTTCCTCTCCTGGAATTAGAATCCTGATCCCTCCCAGATGCCTGGGGTCATCTCCTTGGCCTTGGGGACCAGTGTGGAATTTTCAAAGCTAACAAGACTTGACCTTAACTAACAAGTTCAGTGGAAAGAGTAACAAATTTGACAGGGTCCAAAAAGCAGAGCAGAGTTCGTCTCTTAATGGTCTCTGCTTTGCTCCTGCTCTTCAGGGACTCTAGTTCTCAGATAAATGCATTTGTGATCAAATAAAAATTAACAAATATTTATGGAAATAGTGTTGGGGAGAGAGGATATGGTTTCTGTGTGGAGCTAAGGGGACAAAAGTCATAAGAACTGACAGAAGAGAAAGAGAATTTTGGCTTTGGAGGTGATGTTGTTTAGCGGAAGGAAACAGGTGTGGAACCAGCAGGCCTCGTCACTTACTAACTTCTATGACTTGAGCAGCGATTTTTTTCCTCTCTGAGCCACAGCTTCCTTGTCTGCACAATAAGGATGATAATAATGTCTACTGCATGGTATTGTATGCTAGAAGGGTGAGAGGTGTAAAGGCCTGGTGCAGAGTAAAAGCTTAGTCAGTGATTGGCGTTATTGGCGTTGCTGGTTCTGGATCACAAAAGTGGAGAACTGAGACCTGAACTCTCAGGGCACTTAGGGTGAGATGAGAGAAGGTGGCATTGGGATGGGCACCAAGTCAACTGACAAGCTAGAAATCGGACAGGAAAAGGGATTTGTTCCATCTTTACCCTAACTGGTCTGACCCCACCTGGATGTTCTCCAATTCAACTCAGATATTAAGTACCCAGAGTTAACACAGATCCCACAGGTGAAGGGCAAAGTCATCCACAAGCCTGCCCTCACTTCAAATGCCAGCTGCACTTCAAGGGCCCCAGGCCACTTCCGACCAACTGGCTGTAAATTTGGGAGTTCTCGTGACCCTCTCAGTTTCCATAATTCACTAGAATGGCTCCCCGAGCTCACAGAAAGCAATGTACTTATGATTGTACCTTTATTATTAAGGATACATGTAGAGGAAGATCTGGAGGGGTCTTGGATGCAGAGTTTCCGTGCTCATCAGCGTGGTCATCAACCAGGAAACTCCACCATGCCTCGATGTCCAGAGTTTTCACTGGGGTTTCATTACATAGACATAATTGATTAAATCATTGGCCATGGGATTAAAGTCAATCTCCAGTCCTCCTCTCCTCTCCTCGAGGACTGAAAATCCCAACCCTCTAATCACATTTGGTGTTTCTAAGGACCAGCCCCCATCCTGATGCTAGCTACCATGAGTCACCTCATTAGCATAACAAAGATACTCCAATCACTCAGGAAATTTCAAAGGTTTCTGAAGCTCTGTGCCAGGAACCAGGGGTATATTCTTTATTATATATAAATTGTTATATACCAGATATATTCTTTATAGTACCACAGGGTTGGAGCTTGAAGAACTAGCTTTGAGTCGGTCCCAACTGGTTTGTACAGGACCAACCTTGACTTGTTTGTCCACCTGGATTTCAGTATCTTCCTCTGTAAATGAAAGCATTGCACTATTACCTTTAGAAGTCTGATTCAGCAAAGAAAAGAATGTACATATAGAAAAATCCTGGAAGGACATAAATCAAAATAGTTAATTGGAGAATTTCTGTTCTTTATAATTTCTGTAATATAATGTCTATATTTTTTATACTTTTTAAACATGTAAAATGTCTTTTGATTCTATGATACTAAGAAACCCACAACTTTTAAAATTGAAGCATATAATTTACATATTTATAATACATAGATTTTAAATATACACAGAGTTGGATGAATTTTGACAAATGTATACACCTATGTGAACAAACACCTAAATCAAGATGTCAACACTGCACCTTTCCAGTTGATCCTATCCCACCTCACCCCAGAGCCAGCTCTACTCTGATTTTTAATACCACACATTAGTTTTGTCTATTCTTGAATTTCACATAAATTGAATCATACAGTATGTAGTTTATCTCACTTTCTTTCTCTCAGCATATTGTTTTGAGATACATTCAGTTTGAATCAGAAGTTCACTATTTTTTATGGCTGTATAATATTCCATTGTATGACTATGCCACTATTTTGTTATCAATTCTCCTGTTGATAGACTTTTGGGTTGTTTCCAGGATGCAGCTATTAAGAAAAATCTGCTATAAACATTCTTGTACTAGTGTTTTTTGTGGACATAAGCCTTTATTTCTCCTGTATATATACCTAGGAGTTATGTTAATTTTTTTTTAACGGCCAGTTTCCAAAGTCCCTGTATCAGCTAATGTTCTCACCAGCAACGTATGAGAGTTCTAGTTGCTCTGCCATCTCACCAACACTTGGTATTGTCAATCCTTAATTTTAGTCACCTGAGTGAGTGTGAAGGGATATTTGTGGTATTAATTTGCATTTTCTTGATGACTCATATTGGGTATCTTTTCATTTGCTCTCTGGGCACTCGTGTATTTTCTTGTGTAAAAGTTTTGTTCAAGTCATCTGTTGTTTTTATTTTTAATTGGGAAAATGCTTAACTTTTCACAGGCATTTTTATATCAGCTTCCTCATTATATTCTCTTAAAGAGCCCAGGATGTGGGTGACTCAGCAGTGATCCCTTGTTACAGTTGAGGACACTGAAGTTCAAAGAATGTTCAGCAAATGCTTCACAGCAGGGTGTTGGAATAATGGAAACTGGAAATGGGACCTTCTCATCCTGTTCTCTTTTAGATTCTGTTTTCCTTCTCTAAGGAAGGTTGTGGTGCTGGGAAGACAATAAGCAAATGGGCCCAAGTGATATGCTTGCAGTTCTGATTTGTTGTGAGCAAGCATGGGAAGGGAACACCCTTGCTCTTCCTATCAGACCTTGGTGCCTGCCTAATGCAACCAACATGGTGGATGTACTGTGACCAAGTGGAGAGTGCTCTTCAGCAGCTGCTTAACTGCCCCTCCCATGAAATGGTGGGCAGACTCTGCTTCTAAGTTCCTCAAACATCAGTTTCAGCACAACCCTAGGACCATATGGCCCCACTGAGTGAGGCTGGGACATCCGGGCCAAAGTAGGGAGAGGTACTCTCCAGAATGGGCACTTTGCCATACTCCTCACACGGAAGGGGAACACATCTCACACCTCTCTCTGCAGTGCTCACACCTGCAGTCCCAGGAAAATGTCCAGTTCATTCAAACAAGGGAGCAAGTCTCTAGATGACCCATTATTGCCCCCAGCCACTCACTTTTCCCTGCATCCCACAGTTCCACTCTCTGCCTGCCTTGACATTGCTTGCTGCCTGGACTCTGAAGGTGGGTCATTTACTTTAATTAACTTTTATTGATCACCTACTATAAGTTCAGAATAGTCATGGTTTCTTCCACTTACATTATTTCAATATCTTGTTCTTTTAAAAATTCATCTGCCTACCATTTCATGCCTTTAAAGAATCTCTATCCTAAAAGTGTGTGACTTTTTAAACCTGTGTGGCCCATCACCCAGATCAAGATGTAGAACATTTGCAGTGCCCCAAAATGTTCTCTCAAATCCTCCCAGCCAATATTCTGTAAACATAACCACTACTCTATCATCATCAATTAGTTTTGCCTGTGCTGGAACTTCATATACATGGTATTACGCAGCATGTATTATTTTGTGTCTGGCTTTTGCTGAACATTCATCCATGTTGCATGGAGCAGTTGTGTTTTATTTTTCATTTCTGAGGAGTAGTATGTAGTAGTATGAATATATCCCAACAAGTTAATCTAGTCTACTATTGATGGCATTTGGTTTGTTTCCAGTTTGAGGTACTATGTAAAATGCTAGTATAGACATTTTCGTAGATACATTTTGGTGAAAATAGGCACTCAGCCCATATAGCCAGGAATCATAATGTAGTTATGTTTAACTTTATAAGAAACTATAATACAATTTTTTGAAGTGTTTGTATCAAGTTTTAATCTCAACAGAAATATATGACAATTCTAATTGCTCTACATTCTTGCCAACCTTTGGTATTTTCAGACTTTTTTCTTTTAGAAGTACATTGTATTATAGTTTTATTTTGTATTTCCTTTTAAAATTTTAAAAAAATGTTTGCTAAATTAGTCAGAATTCATATTAAAAATGAAACAACTGAATTAATGTTGTTGTTTTTAAAACTTCACACTCCTGGATTTGTAAAGCAGTGCTTGATGGATTGAATGAGATCATCTATTACTCAGGTTTGCAAAAACATAGCAATTACAGTAATGAACTCCAGTCATCATTAGCATTTCCATTACTAAGGGACCCTTTCAAAACTTCAGTCTCCTCTTAGTAGCTAGAGCTTTGGAAACCTCATGGGGTTTGTTTTCCCACCATCTATACTACGGACAAAGGACTTCTCTGCAGGGCCACTTAAAAATATAGATTCTTAAAAGGCTCAATATGGTAAGAAGGATTGTAAGTGAATGGCCCAATTAATTCCTGCTAAAGATTTCTCATAGGAAATCTTTGTTCAATTTTGAAAAATCATTTATTTGACTTTGGAGTGATCATTTAATATATACATGTCCTATGTTGAAGGCAAAGAATGATCTTTAATTTTGAACAGTTACTTGTTTCACAAATTTGTGCCTTATTATTTAAATGATTTGAATTCTTCCTGAGAAGGGACTATGTCTACTTGTACACTTGTATACAGACCAATATAACAACTGAGCCAGGGTCTGGAACGTAGTAGGAGCTCAATAAAACTGTTAAATGAATGAGTTAAAACTGTTCCTTCTCATGTATATACAGTACCTAACACAAATCTCTGCAAATGACAGCCAACCCAGAAATGTTTGTGAAAAGAAAGTAGAAAAGCTGTAAAGAAAGATTAAATGAGTGGAAGGGAAGAAAAGAGAATTAATCCTGGCAAAACTCTCTTTATATCAGCAAGACCTTTTTTATTTTCATAATACACACTCTGCACAACAACCACCCAGGTATCTACTTGAATGTCCTGCAGACTCCTCAGTTCAACATGTCCATAACTGAACTCACCATAACACTGATTTTTAACCCAACCTTCAAGACCTCCTCCTACTGTATATCCTCTTCGTTAATACTACCACAAGCCAACACTGTTCCCCAAGCCAGAAACTAAGAGTAACCCTCCGCTCTTCTCTCTTCCTCACCAACCTATTCATTCATAAATTAGTTCACTCAATAAATATTCATTAAGAGCCTTTTATACACCTGACTTTGTTCTTCAAGTTGAGGACATGCATTTTGGACATCTCACCCTGAGAAGAACTTTTCTTATTTAAGAACCCAACTATTATAATCTTGATTCACTAGGCACCAACCTATCATGTGAGGCATGTTCCAGACTCGAGAACAAAGGCTGAGAACTTCATTGCACGGCTTAATTTTCCATTCATAAAGGATGAGTCAAGGATGACTCACCTGATAACTATTTCTATTAAGTTGCCATGTCTAGCTGAGAGAAATATCTCCATTCACAAAATTCTTCCCTCTTCTTTCTTACCACTGCAGTAGAGAGACAATATGTATTTAATCAGGTGTCTCAATTGTGTGAAACTCAACAACTCAAGTAGAGATGGAGTTTGGCATGGATCAAGAGGATTTGTGATGCCTGGGGGTAGGTCATTCGCATATATGCATGAAGTCATGGAACACATTGACCCAGCTGAAGGATGGGAGAATGTACCTTAGACCCAGAAATTTTACTTTCTGGCAATGTCAATGTCAAACTCTAGACAATGGAAATGGTAACAGAATGAGATATCACAAAGTATTCAGCTTTATAAGCATTTTATGAGAGGTTATTATGGACAAAGCAAACACAGACACTCATTAGGTTAGAAATGTCTAACTCTCCAAAGACTTATACATGTAAAATTTAATTTTGATTCATCCCCCAACTTCCTCTGACCACTCTGAAATCCCCCATCCCCCCACACTCTCATGCCTTTCCTCCAGCTTCAGACAGCAACCAAGAAGGAAACTGGTACAAATATCTGTCTGACCTGATATTTATTTCTAAATATTCCCTTTTCCATTGCCTTTCCCCATTCATGGTAGGGAATTTCACATCAAACAAGACATTTCTCCATTTGTAAATCCATCATTACACATGTCCTCATCCTCCTTTTTCTCTTATTTTTTCTTCCTCCCTTTTCCTCTCTTACTCTCTCTCCCAGTTCCTGTGGTCTGAATGTGAGCCAAAAACAACCTTAATCAAGGTTAAGATGAGTAATGCTTGGGCTACACTTCAAGAAAAATCAAAGTGTTTCATGACATCTACTGATGTCCAGAGATTGTAAAATTCTTTATCAACTTTCTTCTCCTCCTCTAATACATTTTCTTGTTATCAACCATCAATATTCAAGATGCCCCAGAAATGCCTTTATCATATTCAATACTAACATTTGGTATACTATTTATGAATATTGAAACTTTATATTTTTATTGTGAATATACAACATTTCAGCCACATTGAGTGATATAGGCTTTTATGGGGACACAAACACCATTAAGAATATTATTACTAAGAAAAGTGTCAATGACAGTGTCCAACCATCAAACCCAAAACATCTTTGGAAATCCAGTCTGCAAATTGGGACTTCCAGATTTGGAAGTGTCTTTGTTTCCTAGGTCTACAGGTTTCTGTAGTTTTCATACACAAGTCACTAACCAGGTATTGGGAGAAGAAGCACTGACACCTTCATAGGTGGCAAGTCTATGCAGATATTGTGCCTGTGAGTGTGTGTGCATGTAGGAAGAGATGAGGGTGCTGAAGAGATGGTTACTTTCTGTCCCCCAAACCCATCTCCTTGGCCACATAGGAGTGGGTATGTTGGAGATATTCTTCAAGCTGGTCCAACAGAGCCCCAAAGGCAGAAGGAGACCAGCTGTTGGGGAGGGAAGTCCTCCTGTCCAGAGGCTCCCAACAGCATGGAATGCCAATATGACAGCCAAGGTGGGGTTCCTCCAGGGGAGAGCTGGGTAACAGAATAGGCTCCACCAGATTTTCAGTTCCCCAGATTCCCACAGCCAAGGTTATGCATTTCCGGTCCCTGAGCTGGGACATGTTGGAAATCAAAGCCCATGTACTTTTTATGATCTTCTGGACCAAAGGTTCTTCTGATTCAACCAACTCTTTTGTAATCACTCATTTACCTTAATCTCTTCTCGGTTTACAGCCAAATCACACCATTTACTTGTAAGAAACATCTTTCTGTAATCATACTTAGCTCTCCCTATTTTTCTCTCTTTCCCTTTCTACTTCCAGTAGGAACCTTAGGCACCAGGTAGGCCCTACATTGGCACTATATCCCTATTTATAGATGAAGAAATTGAAGAGTATAGAGTTTAAATAACTGGTTTCACAGGTAATAAGCATTGTAGTGAGATTTGAATCTAAGTCTGCTGACTCCAGAGCGGAGCTCTTAACTATCATGTTACATAACCTCTCCAACAAGGAAAGAGAACAGTGCTATAATCATAGCATGTACCTTATAGGGTCATTGAGGGGATTAAATTAAATAATTTAGGTTCAGTATGTGGCACATAGTTAGATGTAACAAATGTTGGAGATAGTGTGATAATGAACATGATAATGACAATGATGAGAAAGGAGGATGAGGAGGAAGAGGAGGACAAGTATAAGGAGGAAGAGAAACAATAAGTTTCACCTGTCTGCTTCTGTTAATAGTGATCCCCATGTGCTTATCATGGAAGGTAGGTAGTCTTCATGGTGGGAGGGAGCAGAGTTAGAAGGCGATTGGAGAATGCATTATAATTTGGAGAAAATCTTGGCCTATATAGAATTTGAAGAAGAGTTTACCTTTTGAGCTTGTGGGTGACACATTGCTTACCTCCTTGCTTCCAATAGGCATGTGAATGTTTTATTTATTCCCCCAAGACTGCAAGTGGACTGATCTTGGGTCCATTTCCTTATCCTGGAAGTCATGCAAGTGATTACAGAGGATGGTGAGATGTGAAAGCGGAGGAGGCTGGGAAGACCTGGGGACAGTGCTCTGATACTGATAACGGGTCTTCTCCTCATCCAGATCTTAATCTTAGACAGTCTTGAGGCTAATTGGCTGTGTTCTAAATGCCATTCTGTTGATCCCAAACATTAGGGTGTACAAGGGGTCTGTCCCCACTGTTGGACCCCTCTCCAAGGGAATGATAGGGCTGGAGTTTAGGGGAAGCCAATCTAGCCATCAGAAGACAACTAATCAAATGTGCTGAGCTCTGTGTTGGAGAGGAGTTATTGGATATTAATTACCAGAGGCCTCCTGACGCTGTGTTGGAGAATGCAAATCTAAGCCAAAAGCAAATGTCAACATGCTCATGGGTGCCTGTGATGGCTGGAGAGAGAGGTCCACCATATGAACAGAAGAGGGGCCTAGAGAAGGAGAGCCATGCATGGGCAAGACCTTTAATGCTAGGGATTCTGACCCACGAGTAGATATGGCCTTATCATGTCTGCAAGCTCAGCAGTGAAATTAAGCAACTGTACTTTTATTTTTTATTTTTTTGTGATGGAGTATTGCTCTGGCCCCCAGGCTGAAGTGGAGTGCAGTAGTGTTATACAGCTCACTCCAGCCTCTACTTTCTGGGCTCAGGCGATCTTCCCAAGTCAGCCTCCTGAGTAGCTGGGACCACAGGTGCATGCCACCATGCCAGGCTAATTTTTGTATTTTTTGTAGAGATGGGATTTCACCATGTTGCCCAGGCTGGTCTCAAACTCCTGGACTCAAGTGATTGTCCTGCCTCAGCCTCCCAAAGTGCTGGGATTACAGGCATGAGCCACCACACCTGGCCATCTTTGTCTTTGATAATGGACAGACACTAGTAAGGAGTGGGCAAAACCCAGCCAGAATAAAGACAGAGCAAAAGGAATATCTCCCTCTTCACAGGACACATCTCTTGGTACCTCTAATTCTTCATTTATACAATGAAGATTTTATTTTATAAGCACTAACACAATACTGGGCACTGTTCTGCACATTTTAGTCCTCATTTGCCCCAAGAGGTAGGGGCTATTATCCCAATTTTGCTGATGAGGAGTCTAATGAGGTATAGATAAAGTAACTGGCCCAAGGTCACAGTCGCCAATTCTTAAATCAACTTTATATATATATATATATGTGGAGAGAGACAGCGAGAGAGAGAGAGTAATATTTATATATCACATATAATGAAGGAAGGTTCTTGAACCTTTAAAAGATGCTTATGCCAAACACACACATAACCATAGAACTTTCCTGGTAAAATGTTTTTACTTTTGCTAACACTACTTCCTTCTACCTTTTCAGCAACCCACATGGCCAACACACATGTGACTCACTGCAATGTTGCATGAACACAACACAATCAAATGACCATTTTTTTCTGGGCACTGTGAGTCTGTATTTGCCTCCCTAACACTTGGCACAGTTTGACATTGCTTAGCAACGTGTTCCCCCTACTATCCTGGCTGTCATTGTTCTGACCCCAGCTTGAAGGGGTAGGCATTCCACCACCTGCCCCCACCTCCTGTCCAGTCTTCTGCCCATGCCACCAGGTCCTGGTCAGATGGCATCTCAGGAAAGGAAGAGATTTGTGTGGGATGGGCAGGTCTTCTTGATCTCCTTTGAGGAAGCTGGGCTTTGGCTGGATTTTGAAATAGGTGTAGGATTAAGGCAAGTACAAATTCTACGAGAGGGTTAATCCTAATTTTGGAAATGGTAAGAAAGGACATAGTGGAAACAAGTCTAGGGAGACAGAGGATCCTTCTACAGATCTAGGGGGGAAAGTGTGGCTGGACTGGAAATCAACAGGCCGAGGGAAGGACAGGAGGGAAGCTAAAACCCTGAACATACCGGCCCCTCAACACAGCAGGAAATGGGGGAGAAGGGCATTCACCTATGTCCCAGGACTGAAATGAGAGATAAGCCTGCTCCACTGTGAGACAAAGAGTAGGATTAAGGGGCCCCAAAGCCCTTACTCAGGCATTCCTAACTTCTTTTTTTTTTTTTTTTGAGATGGAGTCTAACTCTGTCGCCCAGGCTGGAGTGCAATGGCACCATCTTGGCTCACTGCAACCTCTGCCTCCCAGGTTCAAGCGATTCTCCTGCCTCAGCCTCCCAAGTAGCTGGGATTACAGGCGCCCGCCACCACGCCCAGCTAATTTTTATATTTTTAGTAGAGACGGGGTTTCACTGTGTTGACCAGGCTGGTCTTGAACTCCTGACCTCGTGATCCGCCTGCCTCGGCCTCCCAAAGTGCTGGGATTACAAGCGTGAGCCACAGTGCCCGGCCCCTAACTTCTTTTTATGCCGTGGACTCCTCTAGAAGTCTGGGGAAGTAAACTGACTCTATTTCAGAATGATGTTTTCAATAAGACAGTATAGGAATACAAAGGAAAACAATTAGGTTGAAATACAGTTATGAAAGCATTTTTTAAAAATATGTTTGCTTCCCTGTTAACCCATTAAATCAGTGCTTTTCAAACTATCTGTCGAAAAGGACGAATTTATTTTTCCAATCCATCTTGGACTGACAACTTTTATAAAATAAAAATATGAAATAAAAAAGAATGGGAAATACAAATCCCATTATTCTCAGACCCAAAGTATATTAAATTATTGTGTCAAATTGTTGTAAAAGTTTCTAAATCTTCCTCTCAATGCCTCTTCTTACTTGGTCATGAATCTGTAAGAGTTCATGGGCTGGCACCTCTTTGTGAACCATTCTCTGAGCAGCTCTCTATTCAATACAAGACCTAGCTCTAGGTCTAATAATGACTCTAATTTTGAAGTCGTGGTTAACATAAACAATCTGTCACTGACATGTGATATAAAAATATCTGTGAATTCCTTTGATGACAAAGTTACAGTTACTGCTAATTCCATTAAACTGTGTTAGCTACTTCCATAATAGAAGGAAATGCTAAAATTCAACCATAAATCCATAGAAATGAAGATGTAATTCTTTCCTGTCCAAGTCCACAGGCCCCCTAAAATTTTACTTCTAGACCCACATGGAGCTTTAGGTTAGGGGCCCCTGCCTTAGACAATGGAAGGGGCAGTGAAGACTAGAAAAGGAGGAAAATGACCCACACTATGGGGGAGGCTCTCCCCAAAACTTCAGCCTTTTTGCATCTGGGGTCACAGATTTATAGGGTTAGCATGATGGTTCTGACCAGGGGAGGAAAAACCCTGCACATGGGGTAGCTTAGGCCCTGGCTTGAGGTAAGGGGGAGCTCAGCACATTCGAGCTGGATTCTATTGGAAACCAGAAGCCCAGGCAGGAAAGGTAAGATAAGTGGCAGCCACCGGGGCAGGCGGAGAAGCCGACAACCTGAACAAGGCTTGCCAGCTGTCTTGGCCCCTGCAGCTCAGAGAGACATGGTGGCCTGAGTTGCCTGTGGGGGGTCTAATGGAGACCCCTATTATTTTCAGAATTGTATTTTTCACCATTATGCTCATCCAGGCTCAGAACCATCTCTCCTCACTCATGGACCCCATCATTGAAGGTTACCTTGTGCCAAACATGGAGGTAAACATGCATCTTCTAGTTCAATCCTAAAAGCCACCCTGTAGAATATGTGTTCTCATCATTCCCACTTTACAAGTAGGGAAGAGGTTGAAGAGCACACTGCTAACTGGACAGTAAGCAGCATTGCTGGGACTTCCATTGGGACCCTCTGAAGGCAGAGCATGAGAGGACTGTGCGCCCCTTACATGCCAAATCCTCTGTTCACTCGGAGCACTGCAGGCAAGTTCTGCTAAGCACACTCAGGGGAATTAGATCTCCTGGTTGGGAAGTGCAAGGAAAAAAATAGCCCTTCCCTTTTGACATTTCTTGTATAGTCTGCATTTTACAACAGCACACATTTTGTTTTACTTTATTTAAGGAATACATATCTACATGATGCCAACAACATGAGATGGCTGGCTGCGGGATGGCTGGTGTTGGCATCCAGGTCCCCACTGGGCACTGGAATGTTTCCAAGGGCACCTAAGGGCTTGATGTAGTTCAAGATTCTGCAATTGGGGCCAACAGTGCCTCCTAGAGGGCTTGGGGCTACACTGCTTTTCCCAGGGTCAGGCTTTGGCGGCAGTTGAGGTGGGTAGGGTTTTGTTTCACAGAAAATGGGGCAGCACCTGGAAGCAGCCACCACAAAGCCAGAGAACACCAGAGGCAACCAAGACTTAATTCATCCAGCAGGTTGGCAGGTAGCTCATGGGCTACCTTGATTAGCTACCATAAGTAAAGAGAAGAAAGAAATGCCCAAGGGCTGTCCCAGAGCCATGTTGGAGAGTGCTTTAGGACCTTGTCCTTCAGGCTTTCCTTGGGTCCTAAGGATCAAGGGACAAGGTTAAGGCTAAATATCCTCAGTCATCAAAACTGAGACAGTCACTGCCTGTGTGATGCTCACACTGTGTGATGCTCCACATTTGCAGGTGGGGACTGTTGAGAGGATCAAAGTGAAAGCATTTTGTCTTCATGGTTAGGTCTGATTATTATTGTCAATATATAAAGCACAGCCTGTTTTCTAGGCTCTGTCTCTTTCTTTTCTCACTGACTATCAGGAATAGGAATAGGCATGGTTGGTCCCTATAAAGGTTTACAGGTTCCTTATTTTAAGGTACAGCAGTGGGAGCCCACATAGCTACAAAGGCTCAATTTCAAAGGAAGCTGCTGTCCACTCTCTGGGAAACCAGGGATTCTGTGGCAAAAAATTCTTAAAATAAAAGCTGAGAGGTGAGATTATGGACAAAGAACAGGAACAAGACAAGGATACCTGTTTTCATCACTGCTATTTAATGTTGTACCAAAAGTCCTAGCCAGAGCAAGTATTCAAGAAAAAGAAAAAAAATAAAAGATAGACATATTGGAAAAGAATAAATAAAACTATTTTTATTCACAGATGACATGATCCTATTATAGAAAACTCCAAAGAATCTGCAAGAAAAAAAGCTACTAGAGGTAATAAGCAAATTCTGAAAAGTTGCAAGGTACAACTTGCAACACCCCAAAATAATTTGTGTTTCAATAAACCAACAATGAACAATCTGGGAAGGAAATTAAGAAATCAATACCACTTATAATAGTATCCAAAAGAATAAGATGCCTAAGAATAAATTTAATCAAGGAGGTGAATGACCTGTACAATGAAAGCAATAAAACATTGCTGAAAGAAATCAAAGAAGACCTAAATATATGAAAAGACATCTTGTGTTCATGGATTGGAAAAGTTAATATTCTTTAGATGTCAATACTACCCAAAGATATGTACAGATTCAATGCAATCCCAATCAAAATCTCAATGGCCACTTTTTAAGAAATGAAAAAGTCAACAATCAAATTCATATGGAATTGCAAGAGGCTCTAAATAGCCAAAACAATCTTGAAATGGAAGAACAAAGTTGGAGGACTTACACTTCTCAATTTTGAAACCTACTACAAAATCTACAGTGATTTTTTTTTTTTTTTAAGTGTGGTACTGATAGCAGTGGTGGCCCACCTGGAGCGGCTGCTGGGAAGATGCTGGCTGCAGGAAAAGAGGCGTGGCCAGGGCTGCAGGCTCCACGGAGAGGGTGGGAGCCAGGAACAGGCCAGAGCCCTATCCCCTTCCAAGTTGGTGGCGTAGGAGCCCTGCCCTTCCGGGCACAGCTGCAACCGCCCAACCATGGCCGTGGACCTGGGCATCCCTCCACTCTCAGGGGCCCAGGAAGTCCCCCTCTGCCCCTACAGGCTTGGGAGTGCCTCTTTCCCCTGCTTGGCCTCTCCCTACTCCAGGCACCCACTCTGATTTCAAAGCAAAGTTGAGGCCGAGCCCAGGCACTGTCATGACCTGGCCGGGTGTGCATGCACTTGGGGCAGCACTAACATGCCAGACCCCTGCCACCTCAGCACCCTTCCGCCTCAGCCCCCTCTGAACTTTGGGTGGCCACAAGCACAAGAGTGAGGCCGAAGAGGGGTGCCAAGCGTGGCTCAATGCAGGCCTGCAGGCACTCCTCAGAACAAACAGCTCAGGCACCGTGGATGGCATGATCAATGGCAGCAGGAGGCAGACAGACTCCTGAGCAGAAAGGGGCTGGTCCCCATGAAGCCCCGTCCTCAAGCCAGGGATGGCCTGAAATTTGAGGGGTGGGCTGTCAGTTCTGGGTGGAGTCCCAACCTGGAGAAGTTACGGTTTTTCTGGGCCCACCCATGGCTGCCCATGGACCAGTCAGCACACACGTCCCCACTTCTGAAGCCCATAAACACCTCAAGACTCAGCCAGACTCACAGAGACATCGGGGATGACCAACTGTGGGCAGGAGATACCAATTCAGGTCTCCTGAGAGCTGTTCTGGTGCTCAGTGAAGTTCCTCTCTGCCTTGCTCACCCTCTAGTTGTCCTCGTACTTCATTCTTCCTGGACACAGGACAAGAACTCAGTACCCACCAAATGGTGGGACTGAAAGAGCTGTAACACAACAGGGCTGAAACACGTCCCTCACTCACCACGTTCGTTGTGTACATTGAGAAGGAGAGAAGAGCTACAGCCCTTCTTGGGAGCCCAAACCTAGGGGATCCCCAAGCCAGGGCTATGACACCTTCTTTGGGGCTCTGCAGTTCCTGGCATCTCCAAGCTTCTGGGAGCCACCACATTCCCTTCATCCAGATGAAGGTGCCCACGTGAAAGCCACATGTAGTACATCTGGTCCAGCTGCAGCCTTGTACAGAGCTGGCACCTGTAGCTGCCTGCCCCACTGCAGCAGCTGGCATGCCTGGCTGTGTGCAGTGGCTGGACCCCGCGCTCGCTCCCTCACACACCCCTCGCCACTCTATGCCTAGCTTGTCCTTGGCAGGTGTGGGATCTGGGCTGGTAGCACAAGCTAAGCACAGTCTGCTGGGCCATGTGGGCAGAACAAGCCCAGCGGGCACGAGCAATACTCAGGCAGAAGGCCCCACTGGCCACAGAGGTTTCCAGCTGGTGAAATGACAACCCAAGGATCCCGTGACAGTATTGGCATAAGAATAAACATATAGACCAATGAAATAGAACAGATAACCCAGATATTATATAAACCCTTGCATATACACTCAATTTTCAACAAGAATGCCAAGACCATTTATGGGGAAAAAGCAGTCTTTTCAACAAATGATGTTGGGAAAACTAGTATCCATATGCAAAAGAATGAAATTGGATCCTTACCTTATATAATACACAAAAATTAAATCAAAATGGAAAAAAGATATAAAGTTAAAGGCTAAAATGATAAAACTCTTAGAGGAATATACAGAGGTAAATCTTGGTGACCTTGGATTTGGCAATAGACACTTAGATCTGACACAAAAAGCACAAGCAACAAAATAAAAAATAGTTGAATTGGACTTCATCAAAATTACAAACTTTTGCACATCAAAGAACATTATGAAAAAGTGAAAAGACAACTATAGAATGGCAGAAAATATTTTATTTTATTTTATTTTTTATTTTATTTTATTATTATTATACTTTAAGTTTTAGGGTACACGTGCACAATGTGCAGGTTTGTTACATATGTATACAGGTGCCATGTTGGTCTGCTGCACCCATTAACTCGTCATTTAGCATTAGGTATATCTCCTAATGCTATCCCTCCCCCCTCCCCCCACCCCACAACAGTCTCCGGAGTGTGATGTTCCCCTTCCTGTGTCCATGTGTTCTCATTGTTCAATTCCCACCTATGAGTGAGAACATGCAGTGTTTGGTTTTTTGTCCTTGCAATAGTTTGCTGAGAATGATGGTTTGCAGTTTCATCCATGTCCCTAGAAAGGACATGAACTCATAATTTTTTATGGCTGTGCAGAAAATATTTTGCAAATTATATATCCAATAAAGGTCTAGTGTCCAGAATATATAAAGAATTCTTACAACTCAAGAACAAAAGAAAACAAACCAACTTAAAAATGGGCAAAGGACTTGAATAGACATTTTCCCAAAGAAGATATATGAATGTCCAAGAAACACATGAAAAGATGCTTAGCATAATTAGTTATTAGGGAAATCCAAATCAAACCCTCAATGAGCTTTATATCCACTATGATGGCTATAATCAAAAAACAAAAAGTGGAACATGTACATTGTTAGTGGAAATTAAAAATGGTTGAACAACTGAGGAAAACAATTTGGTAATTCTTCAAAAAGTTAAACATAGAATTACCACATGACCCCACAATTACACTACTAGATATATACACCAAAATACTGAAAACAGGTACTCCAACAAGTTCATGTACACACATATCCATGACAGCACAATAGCCGAAAGATGGAAACAGCACAAACCCCCATCAATAGATAAATAAATAACAAGTTGATATATATACGTAAATGGAATATTATTCAGCCATAAAAAGGGATGAAGTATTGATATATGCTACAATGTGGATGAACCTCCAAAACATTATGCTAAGTGTAAGAAGTCAGGCACGTAAGATCACATATTGCATGATTCCATTCATATGAAATATCCAGAAGAGATAAACTCATAGAGACAGGACACAAATTAGTGGATTTTGGGGACCATAGGGAGGAAATCATGGGGAGAAACAACTTATTGGGTAAGAGGTTTTACTTTGGAGTGATGGAAATGTTTCAAACTAGGCAAAGGTGGTAGTTGCATAATATCATGAATAAACTAACTGCCGCTAAATTGTTCACTTTAAAATGGTTAATTTTATGCTGTATAAATTTCACCTCAATAAATTATCTTAAAACAGAAAAAGCAAGAGCTAAGGATTTGGGATTGTTGAACCATTGCCTCCTGTGGTGTAGTATATAATACGTAACAATTTTTTAATCCACAAAACAATACCTAGTGGCAGGTCAGAGAACTTCCCTGATTTTAAAATAGTGATGAGCATAAACAATATTTTGGGACAGCTGTAAGAACCATAATACAATGAAGGACCTGTAATTTCTACTGGTAGCAAAGTCACAGGTACTGTTAACAGTTGCTTACGTTCACACTAAAAGGAAACACTGAATCTTAAATTATAGGTTAATGGAAATTAAAATTGAGAAAAAATTTTTTATTTTCCTAGATTATGAGCCTCTAGGCTAGAAACCCTTGTTCTAGGGTGGTAAAAATTGGACAAAGATGACAGGAACTCACTACAGGTAACTGTAGTAACTGCTGTTCCCAACTGGGACTGACCTCTTAAATCAGGGGTCAGTGAACTACAGTCCCCAGGCCAAATCCAGCCCACCAGCTATTTTTTCAAATAACATGGTTTTGGAATGCAGCTGTGCCTTCTGATTTACATATTGTCCATGACTACTTTCACACTCTAACAGCACAGTTGAGTAGTTGAAACAGAAACCATATGGCCTACAAACCTAAAATATTTACTATCTGGTTCTTTCAGAAAATACGGTTGCTGATCCCTGCCTTCAAGGAATGCTGGCCAGTTTTCTGGAGACTCCCAGCCTCTCAGCTGAGACCACAGGTAGTTGGTCAGACTCTATACTGCAGGAGGTACCCTGTGCACATGAGTAAGTAGCTTTGACATCTAATATGCCTCTAATTGGAAATGGCAAATGTTCACTAATACAAAAAAATTAAAATTAAAAATTTATCTTTCACAAGCCCAAGCAAAACAGAGTAAATGTACTCCAATGTGTCCCTGCCACTAAGTACAACTGTCAAACCTAGACAGAATTCTTGGAGCAACTATTTGAGGACTCTGAAAAGCAAATAGCAGCAGGCAGATGGGGAAGATCAGTATTTGAGGTGTGCATTAGTGCCAACAGAGAGAGATCCAGGAAAAATCTCCTAGTTCTTGATAAAGGAGTGGGACATATCTCCCAATGCTTAGACAGAGTAGGGAAATTCCTTGCTGTTATTGTTTCTTTTCTCCATTCTCTCACACCCAATAATCTAATTGTGGTGGTGGCCATGACAATAATGGCAGTGGGGCTGCAAAGGAACCTAAAACTCTAAGGAAGCGTGTACTAGAGTTCTTCAGAGACACCGAACCAATAAGAGATAGATAGATAGATAGATAGATAGATAGATAGATAGATAGATAGATAGATAGATAGAGATTTATTATAGGAATTGATTCATGTGGTTATGGAGGCTGTCCTCTGATACATCATCTGCAAGCCGGAGAACCAGAAAAGCCAGAAGTGTAATTCAGTCTGTGTCCTCAGGCCTGAGAACCAGGGGGAACTGACAGTGTAACTCCCAATCTGAGATCCAAAACCTGAGAACCAGGGGGCTTGGGATGAGTTGCTGGTGGTAAGTCCCAGATTCCAACCCAAGAACTAAAAGCTCTGACACTTGGGCTTAGACCTGCTATGATAGGATTAACGTCACTATAAGAGGAAGAAACACCATGTTTCTTCTCCATGTGAGAATACAGCAAGAAGGCAGCCAGAAATACTGCCAGAAATATGGCAAGAGGGCAGTCAAAAGGCAAGCCACAGAAGGCCCTCACCAGGACCTGACCATGCTGGCACCCTGGTCTTGGACTTCCAATCCTTTAGAATTATGAGAAGTAAATGTGTTTAGGTCACCCAGTGTATGGCACTTTGTTCTAGCATCCCAAGCTGATGAAGGCAAGGCATTTCACCAAAAAGGATATAAAGATTATCAAAAACCACATGAAAACATATTCAGCAGCATCAGTCATTGGTGTAATGCTAAATAAAACCACAATGAGATGCTACACACTTGTTATAATGTCTCCAATAAAAAATACTAACAATAACAAGTGTTGATGAGAATGTGGAGAAATTGGAACCTCATATGGGACAGCCACTCTGAAAAACAGTGTAGCATCTTCTTATAAAGTTAAACATACACTTACGATGTGATCCAGCAATCCCATTTGTAGGCATTTACTCTAGTGAAGTAAAAATTTATGTTCACACCAAAATCTGTATGGGAAGGTTTGAATCAGAGCTATATTCATAACTGCTAAAAATTGACAACAATCCAAATGTCTTTCAGTGGGTGAATGGATAAACAAACTGTGCTACGTCAATCAATGGAATACTACCTAGCAATTAAAAGGAACAAACAATTGATACATGCAACAATTTGAATGATTTTCAAAGGCATTTTGTTGAGTGAGAGAAGTCAGTTTTAAAAGGTTACATATTGTATAATTTTTAATTATGTGACATTCTTGAAGAGCTAAACATTAAAGTAACAGCATAGTTCAGTGGTTGTCAGGGGTTGACAGGGAGTCAGGTGTTACATCAATAGAATAGAAGGAGGGAGGTTTTTTGGTTTTTGTTTTTTTAAGTCATGCAAATGTCTGTATTCTGTTTGTTGTGGTAGTGGCAAGAATCTATATATGTATTAAGATTGACATTGCTTCTGAATCCCAAAAAGTCAATTTTAGTCTACGTTAATTAAAAAAATAAAATGTTAGTCTCCCTAGAAGTAATGTTTGCAAGATAGCAGAATAAAAGTTTCCAGGGCTCATTCTCTCACAGAAACATCAATGTGAACAACTATTCATGCATGAAAATACCTTCACAAGAACTAAGGAATCCAGATGAGAGATTATAGTACCTAGGTGGAGCATGGAAATAAAAAGAGACATATTGAAGAGAGTAGAAAGGATAGCTTCACCCATGTTACCCCTTCCCCAAACACAGGCAACACAGTGAGGAGAGAGATTCTCTCTGAGTTAGGGAAAGAGAGTGAGGTGAGCACCCAATTTCATCATGGACCTTAGCACCCGGCCCACTCCAGTAAATCCCAGCACAGGCTTGCCTCTGCAGGACAAGACTCCAGGCCTACCCCATGACCAAGCCAGCCCCTGCAACTCCAGGTTCCAGACCTGCCCTCACAAATTCAGGCACCAAGCCAGCCCCTGTAGACCCAAGCACCAGGCCAACCCACTGGAGGATTTCAGCAGCAAGCTTGCCAAAACTTCACCAGACAGGCTTCCTAGAATCTCTGGACAGGCTTACTGGTGAAGGAATTTCCCTGCTAAATCCAGTCTGCAAGAATGGAAGGGGTGCCTGCTTCTTCAAATACACAGACACCAATGCAAGGCCACAAGGATAAAGAATAATTGGAGAAACATGGCACTGTTAAGGAACTAAATAAGGCACCAGTAACAGACCCTAAAGAAATGCAGATCCACAACTGTCTGATGAAGAATTCAAAATAACTGTCTTAAAGAAGTTCAGTGAGCTGTAAGAGAACACGGATAGACAACTAGACCAAAAAAATCAGGAAAACAATACATGAACAAAATTGGAAATTTTACAAAGAGATATAAACCACAAAAAAGAACCAAACAGAAAATTTTGGAGTTGAACAGCACAATGATTAATCTGAAAAATTCAATAAAGGACTTCAACAGAAGATTCAATTAAGCAGAGGAAAAACAATCAGTGAGTCTGAAGACAGGTAATTTGAAATTCCCTAGTTAGAGAAACAAAAAGGAAACAGAATGAAAAAAAGTGAAGAAAGTCTACAGGACTTATGGGACACCATGAAGCAAACCAATATGATAATTCACATGATGAGGGTATCACAAGGAGCAGAGAAAGAGAAAAGGGGAGAAAGTTTATTTAAAAAAAAAACAGAAGAAAAAAACTAATAATAAATTGGAAATAAATGAAATATAGACTAGAAACACAATAGAAAAGATCAATAAAACTGAAAATAGTTTTTAAAAAAATAAACAAAATTGGCAAATTTTAGCTAGATTAACTTAAAAAAGAGAGAAGACTTAAAATCAGAAATGAAACCATAAATATTACAACTGATATAACAGAAATATGAAAGATTGTAAGAGACTGCAAAGAACAATTATACCCTAACAGATTGGATAACCTAGAAGAAATGAAGACATTTTTAGAAAAATACAAGCTGCCAAGACTAAATCATAAAGAAATAGAAAAATGAACAGATCAAAAATGATTAAAGAAATTGAAACCAAAAACCTCACAACAACAAATCCAGAAATATGTGGTTTCATTGATAAATTCTACCAAATCTTTAAAGAAGAATTAACTTCAGTTCTTCACAAAATCTTCCCAAAAATCGAAGAGGAGGAAACACTTCCAAACTTATTTTATGAGACCAGGATTACTCTAATATTAAAGTCAGACAAAAACACTATAAGAAAAGAAAACTACAGGTTAATATCCTTGATGAGCAGTAATGCAAAAATCCTCAACAAAATACTAGCAAACTAAATTCAATAGTACAGTAAAAAAGTCATATACCATGATCAAGTGATACCTCTAGGATTCAAGGATGGTTCAATATACACAAATTAATAAATGTGTTACACCATATTAATAGAAAGAAAAATAAAAATCACATGATTATCTCCATAGACACAGAAAAAGCACTGGACAAAATTCAACAACCTTTCATTATAAACACACTTAACAAACTAGGTATAGCAAGAATGTACTTCAACATAGTAAAGGCCATTTATGACAAACCCACAGCTGACATCATACTCAGTGGTGAATAGTTGAAAGATTTTCTTGTAAGCTCAGAAACAAGAAAAGGATGTCCACTCACATCACTTCTGTTCAATACAGTACTGGAAGTCCTAGACAGAGCAATTAGGCAAGAAAAAGAAATAAAAGGCAGCCAAATTGGAAAGGAAGAAGTAAAATGATCTCTGTTTAGAAATGATATGATCTTATATATAGAAAACGCTAAAGACTCCACAGAAAATGTTAGAACTAATAAAAAAACTCAGTAATGTTGTATGATACAAATCAACATAGAAAAATCAGTGACATTTCTATACACTAACAACAAACTATCAAAAAAAGAATTAAGAAAATAATCCCATTTATAATAGCATTAACAATACTTAGAAATAAATTTAACTGAAATGAAAGATCATCACCCCTGAAAACTATAAAACATTGATGAAATAACAGGAAGATAGCCCATATTCATGAACTGGAAGAATTAATAGTGTTAAAATGTGCATACTTACCCAAAGCATTCTGAAGATTTATTGCAATCTCTATCAAAATTTCAATGCTATTTTTTATTAAAATAGAAAAAACAATTCTAAAATTTGTATGGGACCACAAAAAAAACTTGAAAAGCCAAAGCAATCTTGAGCAAGAACAAAGCTGGAGGCATCAGACAAAATGTCCTATAAAGTTATGGTAGCCAAAACAGCATAGTATTGTAATAAAAGCATACATACAGATCAATGGAACAGAATAGAGAGCCCAGAAATAAATCCATGAATTTACAGTCAATTAATCTTTGACAAAAGTGCCGGGAATATACAGTGGGGAAAAGAAAGTCTCTTTAACAAATGGTGTTGGAAAAACTGGATATCATAATCAGAAATACTAATTTGCACCCTATCTTATACCATATACAAAAAATCACTCAAAATAAGTTTAATACCTGAAACTATAAGATTCCTAGAAGAAAACAAAAGAAAAGACATTGGTCTGGATGGTGACTTTGAGCACAGGCAACAAAAGTAAAAATAAACTAATGAAATGACATCAAACTGAAAAGCTTCTGTGCAGCAAAGAAAACAATTCCTAAAGTAAAGAGACAACTTGTGGAATGGGACAAAATATTTGCAAATCATATATCTGATAAGGGGTTAATATAAAAAATATATAAGGAACTCAAACAACTCAATAGCAAGAAAACAAACAGACATTTCTCTGAAGAAAACATACAAATAACCAACAGGTATATCAAAAAATGCTAAATTGCTGATCACCAGGGAAATACAAATCAAGACCACAAAGAGATAACACTTCATACCTGTTAAAATGGCTATTGTAAAAAAGACAAAAGCGAAGTGTTGATGAGGATGTGGAGAAAAAGGAACCCTCATGCACTGTTGGAGGAAATGTGCATTGGTACAGCCACTATGGAGAACTCTACGGTGGTTCCTTAATAAATTGAAAACAGAACTACTATATGATCCAGCAATCCCACTTCTGGGCATATATCCACAGGGAAATGAACTCAGTATCTCAAAGAGTTATCTGCAATGTTCCTTGCAACATTATGTACAACAGCCAAGATATGAAACCAACCTAAGTATCCATTGATGGAAAAATGAATTTTAAAAACTGTGGGGTAATTAATTATAGATATATCTCTATCTATGCCTCTCTCTCTTTTCCTCCCTCCCTCTCTCTCTCTCTATCTCTTTCTCTCTCTCTCTCCCTCTCTCTCTCACACACACACACACACACACACACACACACACACACACACATATACACATACACACATACTGGAATATTATTCAGCCTTTAAATAGAGGAAAAATCTGCCATTTGTGACAACAAAGGTTAAACTGGAGGACATTATGCTAAGTGCAGCCAGTTAGACACAGAAAGGCAAGTTTTGGATGATGTCACTTAGATGTAGAATCTTAAAAAGTTAAACTCATAAAAGCAGAGTGGAAAATTGGTTACCAGGAGCTGGAGAGTCGGGGGATGGCGAGATGTTGGTCAAAGGTTGCAAAGTTCAGTTATGCAGGATGAATGAGGACTAGAGTTCTATTGCACAGCATGCAAACTATAATTAATGTATTGTAGACTTGAAATTTATTAAGATAACAGATCTAAATGTTCCTATCATAAAAAATAAAACTGGTAACTCTGGGAGATGATGGACTGTGGTAATCACTTCACAATGTATATGTACATCAACACATTACATTGTACATCATAAATACATACAATTTTTATTTGTCAATTTTACCTAAAATTTACCTTTCAAAATTCACAAAATGAGTAAAACAGAAATTTGAATATTTTAAATTTCAAGTTTTTTTAAAGTTAATAGCATTCATACTTCTCAAGTTATTGAAGATTAAAACTCTACTAACAGCCGGGCATGGTGGCTCATGCCTGTAATCCCAGTACTTTGGGAGGCTGAGGCAGGTGGATCACCTGAGTTTGAGACCAGCCTAGACAACGTGGTGAAACCCCACCTCTACTAAAAATACCAAAAATAGCCAGGTGTGGTGGGGCATGCCTGTAATCCCAGCTACTCAAGAGGTTGAGGCAGGAGAATCACTTGAACCCAGGAGGCAGAGGTTGCAGTAAGCCAAGATTGCACCACTGCACCCCAGCCTGGGCGACAGAGTGAGACTCCATCTCAAAACAAACAAACAAACAAACAAACAAACAAACAACTCCACTAAGACTTTTGGGACAACCTGTACCTACCTGACCTGCCTTTCCATCTTTAATGCTCTTCTGTGCTCCCCAGCCCCACTTCAATTGCGTACTGGACAAAGTCATGACTGCCAAGTAGGGAACCCCAGGATCTCCAGGATCTGGCATCTAACCACATCTCCAACCCTACCTCCTAGAACTCTTTGCCTCTACTCTCCCTCCACTGCCATTGGAGCCCCACAGATTCTGAGTTGCTTATTGAATCTGCATCTTTGCCAGTGCTATGCTTTTTAACAAAACGCAGGCTCCCTGTTCCTTCCATCCTCTTCTTTGCAAGTTTCAACTCACATATCTCTTCCTTCAAATGAGCCTTCCCTAAAAAACAATCTTCCCTACCCTTCCAGCTGTGCTCCCTCAGGATCCTGTGCACGTGTCTGTCCTGGGCTTAACTCACAATGTCACTGCCCTATGATTCTGTCTTTATGAGAAAGTTTCTCCTTCTCCACTGTGAGATTTCAAGAAACGGGCTCAGAAGTGAGAGAATAAGTGAAGGAGGAAAAAAAAAAAAAAGACTCATGAATTTAAGAAGCAAACATCAAGGGTCTTAGTAATTGCTATTATTTGTGTCTTATAATTGGCTTGACCAACTGAGTAGCTGGTCACCGTTCTTCCATTTATTAGTTGTGACATTGGGAAAACCCTCTTACTTCTCAGTGTGTTTCTTGTCTCTCAAATAACAAAACATTCAGCCCCTGTTGGCATGGTAAATTTGGATCTGCAATCAAATGAAATTAAGGATGTGAATATGCTTTCACATCTAAGCTCTACACTTGCAAGATGTTTTTACTGCAAGCTTCTGAATCACAGTATAAAAACATGAAATTTGGAAACAGAAAAGGCTAGGAGATAACAAAGTTGAAATACTTCATTTTCAATGGCAAATACATGGGATCAACCCAAATGCCCATCAGTGTTAGGCTAGATAAAGAAAATGTGGTACATATACACCATGGAATACTATGCAGCCATAAAGAAGAACTAGATCATGTCCTTTTCAGAAATGTAGATTTCTGAAATCTGGAGCTGGAGGCCATTTTCCTTAGCAAACTCATGCAGGAACAGAAAACCAAATACCACGTGTTCTCACTTATAAGTGGGAGGTAAATGATGAGAACACATGGATACATAGAAGGGAACAACACACACTGGGGGCTACCTGAGGGTGGAGGGTTGGGGGAGGCAGAGGATCAGGAAAAATAACTAATGGGTAGTAGGCTTAACACCTGGGTGATAAAATAATCTGTACAACAAACTCCCATGACACAAAGTTTACCTATGTAATAAACCTGCACATGTACCCTGAACTTAAAAAGCAAAAAGAAATCCTTCATTTTATTAATAAGGAAATGAAATATGAGTGAAAAGAGACTTATCCAAGATCACGCAATGAGGCAGATTTAGAGCTTTCTCAAACCTGGGGCTACTGGCTCTTTCCAAAACCTCATTCTTATTTTTTGTCTTATTTTTCTTCTTTCTTTCTTTTTTTACTTTCTTATTCTTTCTTCAGCACAGCCCTTCAGCTCTTTCTTTCCCCCAAATAGAAGAATCACTCTTTTTCCCACCAAATAGAAGAATAGCCGTAGTTAAGTGCCGTTGATCTTTGTTGACTGAAAATCTAACTTTGTGCATGCCTACACCATGTCCCCAGCTGCCGTGTACTTGTTAGCATGGATACTTACTGGGCCAAGAGGCACACAGGAAGCCCCTGAAAGTATTTACTCCAACCAGACCCAGGGAAAAATGAAACTGGGTTGTCTTTTAGGGATATTGTCTTTCAGGGACTAAGTTACCATGGCAAGCAGAGATCTACTGCCTTGGCTTACAAACTGTTCCCCTGTGAGGTCTTCCACAGGCAAATTGCTCTATAAATCTATGTTGTTTAATTTTGAGTAAAGGGATAGAAAGGTTCCCTACGAGAAAATGCCGGGGAAAGAAAGAAACCCAAAACTGAGTTTTCCAAAAGACTAGATTTAAATCTCCTTAGAACATTGTTACTTCTTCGTTGCTCAAAGAGTGTCTTTGTAAGTCAGGTCAGCGGCGGCTGTCACACGCTGTGGGGGAAGATGTGTGGCATTTCATCAGAGGGGCAGCTCAAGCAGCAGACTCAGATCAGGAAATTAGAAATGTTTCCCTGCCTGCCCAAGAAAGGCTAGATTCACAGTTTTGGTTCAGACGTGTCCCAGAATTTTAGCCAACCATGGAAGTCTTTGGAGCTGAAAATCAAGCTGTCAAAATGTCTTTTCTAAGCATCTGCTGTGTCTAGTCCTGTGTCAAATGATGACAGCGATGTTATCATCTCCACTCACATGCTTTCCTGTGCCAGTCATCCCACTGCGCACTTTGCGTACATTTGCTAATATTATAATGACCCTTTGAGATAAATATTATTATTCTCATTTTTCATACAAAGAAAGTTAGCATCCTCAAACCAAACAGCTTGCCATCGTTCATATATGGTCTTTTGTACCTGGCTTCTTTCAATCAGAATGTTTTCACTGTTGTAGCATGCATCAGTAGTTCATTCCTTCTTATTGCCAAATAATATCCAATTGTGTAACCCATTTTTAAAATCTATTCATCAGTTGGGGAACACATGGGTTGTTTCTACTTTTTGGCTATCATAGTTAATTCTGCTAGGAATATTCATGTACAGTTTTTGTATGGACATGTGTTTTTATTTATTTTAAGCATATGACTAGGAGTGGAATCACTGGGCCACATGGAAATTCTATAACATTTTCAGGAACTTTCAAACATATTTCCAAAGTGGTTGTACCATTTTACAATCTCACCAGCAATATATTAGCGTTTTAAGTTTTTCACGTCTTTGCTAATATTTGTTATTGTTTGATTCATTGATAATAGCCATTCCAGAGGATATAAAGTGATATCTCATTGTAATTTTGTTTGTTTGTTTAGAGACAGTGTCTCACTCTGTTGCCCAGGCTAGAGTATAGTGGAGCAATCATAGCTCACTGTAACCTCAAACTCCTGGGCCCAAGCAATCCTCCCACCTCAGCCTCCCAAGTAGCTAGGACTACAGGCATATGCCACCATGCCTAGCTAATTTTTTAATTTTTTGTAGAGATAGGGTCTCACTATGTGCCCAGGGTAACCTCAAGCTCCTGGTGTCAAGTGATCCATCCACTTCAACCTCCCAAAGTGCTAGGATTACAGGTGTAAGCCACTGTGCCTGGCCAATTTGAGCATTTTTAAATGTTCTCATTGATCAGTTAAATTTCTTCTTTGGGGAATGTCTATTCAAATCCTTTGCCCATTTTAAAATTGGGTTATTTGTATTTTTATTGTTAAGATAACTCTTAAATTTTATTTATTTTTTGAGATGGAGCCTCACTCTGTTGCCCAGGCTGGAGTGCAGTAGCATGATATCAGCTCACTGAAACCCCCACCTCCTGGGTTCAAGCGATTCTCCTGCCTCAACCTCCCGAGTAGCTGGGCTTTCAGGTGCATGCCACCACTCCTGGCTAATTTTTGTATTTTAGTTGAGACAGGGTTTCACCATGTTGGCCAGGCTGGTCTTGAACTCCTGACCTCAAGTGATCTGCATGCCTCAGCCTCCAAAGTGCTGGGATTACAGGCGTGAGCCACCGTGCCCAGCCTAAGATAACTCTTGAGAAGTCTTACATATTTTGGATATAGACCCTTTATTATATGTATAATTTGCAAATATTCTTTTCTCCATTCTGTAGGTAAATCCACAGAGACAGAAAGTACTAATGAGTTTCAGGAGGTAGGAGGGAAAGAGGAGTATCTGCTAATGGGTATAGGGCTTCTTTTAGTACTGATAAAAAAATTTCTAAAATTAGTGGTGAAGTTTGCACAACTCTTTAAATATATTTTTAAAACATAGAATTGTGTACTTTAAGATGGTAAATTTTGTGGTGTGTGAGTTATATCTGCATAAAGTTGTTACTTTTTTTTAATTGAACAGCTTGGAAGTGGTAGGACTTGGACTGGAATTTAAGTCTACCAAACTCTAAAGTCTAACTATGTTACACAGCCATGGGGAGAGGGAACAATGTTGGACAGAAAAAGTACAGAGAAGAAGAGGTGGAATACACAGACATCAAGCTACTCACAAAACTAATTGTGGAGATGGATCTAGATGATGCACTGCATTTACATATATACCCTCCTTCCTGAATGACAGGAAGAGATTATTTTTAATAAAAATAAATTTAATGTAATTTAAGTAATGTCAGAAAGGTAGGAAGCATTCAACAAAGAAAAGCCCAGGACTAGAAGCCTTCATGAGTGAATTCTGCTAAACACTTAAAGTAAAATTAACACCAACATTTATTAAATGCTCCAGAAAAATAGAAGAAGAAACACACCTAACCTCATATTATGAGGCCAGCATCACCCTGATACTAAAGCCAGAAAAAGGCAACACAAGAAAAGAGACTACAGGCCAATATCCTTGATGAACACACATGCAAAAATCTTCAATAAAATACTAGCAAACTGAATTCAACAGCACATTAAAAGGATCATACACCATGATGGGGTGAAATTTATCCTTGAGATCAATCATGGTTTGATGTACAAAAATCAATCATTGTGATACAACAGATACTACATTAACAGAATGAGAGACAAAAACCACATGATTATTTCAATAGATGCAGGAAAAGTATTTTGACAAATTCAATATCCTTTCATGATAAAAGAAACTCTCAACAGAATAGGTATAGAAATAACTTATTTCATCACAATAGAGGCATATATGAAAAACCTACCTCTAGCATCATAATCAATGGAGAAAGACTAAAAGCTTTTCCTCTAAGATCCAGAACAAGGCAAGGGTGCCCAGTCTTGCCACTGCTATTCAACATAGTACTGGAAGTCCTAGACAGAGTAATCAGACAAGAAAAAGAAATTAAAAGTATCCAAATTGGAAAGGAAGAAGTAAACTTATCTCTGTTTCCAGACGGTATGATCATATATGTAGAAAATCCTAAAGATTCACTAAAACAAAAGTTGTTAGAACTAATAAACAAATTCAATAAAGGATTTGCAGGATACAAAATCAACATACAAAATCAGTGGTATTTTTATACACCAACAAACTATCTGAAGGGAAATTAAGAAAACAATTCCATTTATTAATACATTAGCAATGGCAGCAGCAACAAATAAAATATTTGGGAATTAAGCAAAGAGATGAAAGACCTATATACCAAAAATTATAAAACATTGATGAAGGAAATCTAAAAAGACACAAATAAAGGAATAGTTATCCCATGTTCATGAATTGGAAGAATTAATATTGTCAAAATCTTCTTACTACCCAAAGTGATATACAGATTTAATGCAATCCCTATCAAAATCCCAATGGTATGTTTTACAGAAATAAAAAAAAATCTTAAAATTAATATGATACCACAAAAAGCCCTAAATAGTCAAAGCAATCTTGAGTAAGAAAAATAAAATTGAAGGCATCACACCACCTAATTACAAAATATACTACAAAGCTATAGTAATCAAAAGAGTTTAGTACTGGCATAAAAACACATAGACCAATGGAACAGAATAGAGAACCCAGAAATAAACCCACATATATATGATTAATTGGCCTTTGTCAGGAGTGTCAGTAACACAAAATGGAAAAGAACAGTCTCTTCAACAAATGGTGATTTTTAAAAATCTGGATATCCACATGCAAGAAAAAAATTTAATTAGACCCCTATTTCACACCATATACAAAAATTAACTCAAAATGGATTAAAGACTTAAATGTAAACTTGAAACTGTAAACCTCCTAGAAGAAAACATAGGAAAAACCAATCTTGACATTGGTCTTGGCAATAATTTTTGGTTATGACCCCAAAAGTTCAGGCAACAAAAGCAAAAATAGACAAGTGGGATAACATGAAACCCAAAAACTTCTGCATAGCAAGAGAAACAATCAACAAAATGAAAAGACAACATATGATATAAGAAAAGTATTTGCAAACCTACATCCAATAAGGGATTAGTATCCAAAATATAGAAGGAGCCACTACAACTCAATAGCAAAAATAAGCAAAAAGCATGATTTTAAAATGGGCAAAGGACCTCAATAGACACTCCATGAAAGAACAAATTTAAATGGCCAGCAGGCGTATGAAAATGTGTCCAACATCAATTATCAGGGAAATGGAAATCAAAACCACAATGAAACCCTACCTCACAGCTGTTAAGATGGTTACTTATCAAAGAGGCAAAAGATGGTTGGTCAGGATGTGGAGAAGAAGGAAACCTTATACATTGTTAGTGGGAATGTAAATTACTACAGCCATTATGGAAAACAGTATGGAGGTTCCTCAAAAAAATTAAAAATGGAACTAGTATATGGTACAGCAATCCTACTTCTGCGTGTATATCCAAAGGAATTGAAAGCAGGTTTGTAGGCCAGGTACAGTGGCTCATGACTGTAATCCCAGCACTTTGGGAGGCAGAGGCAGGTGGATCACTTGAGGTCAGGAGTTCGAGACCAGCCTGGCCAACATGATGAAACCCCGTCTCTACTAAAAATACAAAAATTAGCCAGGTGTGGTGGCACACTCCTGTAATCCCAGCTACTAGGGAGGCTGAGGCGGGAGAATCACTTGAACATGGGAGGCAGAGGCTGCCATGGGCTGAGATCGTGCCACTGCACTCCCACCTGGGCGACAGAGGGAAACTCAGTCTCAAAAAAAAAAAAAAAAAAGGCCAGGCATGGTGGCTCATGCCTGTAATCCCGGCGATTTGGGAGGCTGAGGTGGTTGGATCATTTGAGGTCACGAGTTTGAGACCAGCCTGGCCAACATGGTGAAACCCCATCTCTACTAAAAATATGAAAATTAGCTGGGCATGGTGGTGCACACCTGTAGTCGCAGCTACTCAGGAGGCTGAGGCAGGAGAATCACTGGAACCCGGGAGGCAGAGGTTGCAATGAGCCAAGATCGGGCCACTGCACTCCAGTCTGGGCAGCAGAGCCAGACTCCATCTCAAAAAACAAACAAAACAAAAAACAAAAAAACCCATGTTTGCAAAGAGATATCTGTACTCCCATGTTCATTGCACATTATTCACAATAGCCAAGATATGGAAACAACTTAAATGTCCTTTGATGGATGAATGCATAAAGAAAATATGGTGTATGTGTACAACAGAATATTATTCAGCCTTAAAAAGGAAGGAAACCCTGCCAATTGTGACAATAAGAATGGAGCTGGAAGGCATTATGCTAAGTGAAATAAGCAAGACACAGAAACAGAAATACTACATGATCTCTCTTATAGATGGAATCTGAAACAGTCAAACTTACAGAAGTGGAGAGCAGAATTGTGGTTGCCAAGGACTGTGGGGGAAGGGGAATGAAGTGATGTTGGTCAAAGGGTACAGAGTTTCTTTTATGCAAAATGAGTTATTTCTAGAGATCTTAGGCTCTGCTTCTGGGGCAATCCAAACTAAGACAGGTATTAAATACAAATTTAAAAGGTTTATCTTTAAAGTCTTGCAATTGAATTGGGAAGATATTTACAATTTTACACAATATTAGGACTCTTAAATCAGCCATATCTTAAAGTGTTTAATTAAGTTTTACCCTCTCATTAGCCATTGACAATAAATCAGTGTAGATTGGTACATCATGGGCCATTTAACATTCCTTGGCATTTATTTGCAACAGCTCATTATTATCCAAAAGTCAGCTGCTGCCAAATTTCCTCTCCAATAGGCAAAGAAATTCCCAGTTGGAAGGTGAGCTGACTACCAACTCAGGCTGCCTGCTTATTGGGTTTCATGCATCCCTCTCCTCCCGCCCTTCCTCAACTGGGCAATCTACAGGACCTCCAAAGTGCCTTCTCCTTGGGGAAGGATGTATATTTCTCCTAAGAGTGGTTCAGAAAGATTAATGCTAAAGAAACTTCCCCAGTTTCTCCCTCTTTATCGATTTCCATCTTCTAAAGATTTCAGCACTTTGAAGCTTAATCAATTTGTATCACAGTTAGTTCCATGTCCATGTTTTGGTCTTTTAGTTCTTTAACGAATTCCTCTCCTTTTGAACATGAAAGAGGCAGATACTTAGCTTTAAGTTTCCATCTGCCTTCAAGTCCCATTTTGTTCAGAGAAATTAATATAATCTGGGGAAAATAAACCTAAAATTATTTGGAAATAGGACTCATGTAATTTCTTATACAGGCAATTTTTTGCTTTGACATCCAGGGAACTTTGAATGTTTGCCTGAGTTCAGCTTGTTTGGAGGTAAGGCATCTAAACTGACCCTAATTTAAGCAAAAGAGGGGTTTATTGAAAATATGCTTGGTAGTTTATAGAACTAAAGAGCTTAATAAACCAGTCTCTGGAAGTATGTAGTCAGGAAAGATTCAGGGATCTCACAGACAGAAATTCCCAGACTTCATCATTACACTGTTACCTTCATACAACTCCAGAACCAACCATCTTACCTCCCTGTGCATTCCCACTCAGATGCTCCCAAGAGAAGGAATTTGGCCTAGTTTGGGCATGTGCTCAACACCTGTGGTCAGTAGAGCAGGAGTGTGGGTTATCCTCTGATGAGTTTCTCTACCAGAAGAGAATATTGGTGGCAGGGCATGAAGGAAAGGGAGGGGGGCCTGCAATTCTCCCAAAGAAAGAGATGCTGGGCAGATGGAAGCCATAGATATCCACTACATTTATTCCTCAGCTATCCATTTGTCCATATCTCCATTCACAGAATTTTACAAATGCTGCCATCTAACATTACAAAATCATACCACGTAAACCTTCAACTGTACTCCTTCCTGAAAGTCTCAGCCAGCTATTGCACCTAGAATCAAGGCCTCCAGGCCCCTGTTCTCCCAGGATAGAATCTCTAAGTGCATCTCATATCTCTTTACCATGTACTATTTCAGTACATGCTGGCCCTGACTTCCAACTGCCAGCACTCTTTGCCTGTAGGCTCTCTCTGGCCACTGGAGACTTCTTTGACCATTTTTGGGGTAGGGAAGGAAATGTCTAAAAGTTATCACCACTTTGGGAGCAGCCCTCAACCAATGACTAAAGGAACTAATAGACAAATATATGTTTTTCCTCACCCTTTCTGGAACTATTGGAAGAACTCTTAGGTGTATATTCTACAGTTTTCCAGAGTGCTTAATCCTTTGGGATTATGCTCCAGTTGCTCACACTGATAATATGCACAGTAGTGTATCCTTTATTGCCTGCACTTTCTCTTCCTCAATCTCATGTTCCCACTGTCCTACTGATACTTCCTAGAGTCACCTCTTAAATGGCATGAACCCAAATTCTTGCCTCAGTGTTTGCTTCTATGTTATTGGGTATTTTTTATTCATCCTCTAGGTCTGCCATAATACCATCTCACAATTTTGTAACCTATGGACTAAAAGATAGATTTCACCATGACTAACTGGTCTTTATGCAGCTGGTCACTATGCCGTAGCTATTATGTGTGAATCCTGCCCATTTGATGTTGTTTTGCCCTTATTCAGTCTTTCAGTCAGTAGGATTCCTTCCAAGTGGAGTAACCAATGTTTCACTCCTGAAAGCCTCTAATTCCTCAGAAGTCCTTCTTTTGCTTTTTCTGTGTCTTTAACAGGACATTCCACCATTTTATGAGGTCAGCTACTTCTGGGTTATAGGGAACATAATGTGATAAGACCAGTGTATCCCATCAGCTCATTGTCTTCCATTTTGCACACTGAGGTGAGTCCCTATTTAGGATAAGTGTAGTATGGAATAGAAGCCATAATAGTGAACAAGGCTCTCAGTACATCCGTGTGTAAGAACAGAAAACTCAGCTCCCAGACGTGTTTATTAATAGTTTGATAAGAAAAATAATGACTGCATGTTCTGTGATGAAAAGGGTCCAGTGGAATTACTGGCTACCAGGTATTCAGTATGGCTTCATGTAAGGGTCTTGAGGATAATTGTTTTGCTGCCACATTGGGGTGTCAGCAGTGGTGGCAAGGGAAAGTTTATTTCGCTATAGCTTCCCTGGTCATGGGCAATGTGAGCAACACCACAGGTGGCTGGGGCAGGTGGATGACTGACATCCAGAGGAGATAAGACCATCCTTGTTTGGTTATTAAAGTATTCTTCTGAAGTGAGGGATTTCTAGTACTATGTATGCAGGATAGAAATATGCTCATATTTTGGACCCACATATGTTTCCTGAACTTCCTTATAGTTCATGTTTGAATCATTCTCTGAGTTCCTAACCTTCACCCAAAAAATTAGCTACTGCCCAACTGTCTGTGTAAATCCTTACAATTGTTTGTCTCTATGTCCAGGACAAGTGGGAAATAATATATACTGTAATCATTAAAGTTCTGCCCACAGAAAAATTTCCCATTTTTTATTATGCTTCAAAGCTACATCTGAGTAGGGCTCTAATACCACTGTAATCCATGGTATATTGTACATAGTCACCTGCATAGTCACCTGTACACAAAGCTCTAATTTTTTCCTCATTAGTTAGCCAATCATAAGGAGCTCCTCATGTGTCCAGGTGCAGATTAAGGGAGGGGAGCAGAGAGACAGGAATAGGGGTTCTGAGCGGGTTTGCAACCCACAACTTCTGAAACTAACCTGCACGTTCAGGACCTGTTGAGGCTTGATCTGGCATGTATCTCTTCCCCTTGATGACAGAGCACGCTGAAGATGCCTCCCTTTATGATGGATTGAATAAAATTGCATCCAGATATAATGGACTGCTCGGAACTCATGGCCACATGATCTTTCAGATGTTTAATCTCAAACACAGCACAATATCAGGGCCAAAGCTGTTACTTAAGGGAAAATTGTCACTTACTGGAAGTCTAATTGCCTTGATCCAAAATCCTATGGGTGCACTATAGTTTTCATATTGGAACTTACCAAACTCTCTATATGACCTCCGTAACTGCTACAAACATTTTGAAGACTATTGGATCCATCAAATAATATAGGTCAGGTGAATCCAGCCTATATTACCTGGAGCCACTGAAGATACATCCTCATGGGTGCTGGGTGCCACCCAGAACTGGCATCTATGTTCACAGGAGAGATTGTTCTCTTTTCTTTCTCTCCATAATGTCTTTGTCTTCTTTTGTATCAAAACAATTTTTTCATCATATTTTCTTATTCATATTAAAATTGAAACTATATTTTACTCATTGAAGAGTAAACAATTTCAATCTATGAAAAAATCTTACACATTTATTTAAATTATATATCTGTTATAAAAAATATAAAGTCAACAATTTATTAGGTTCACTAATGTTTAATTTACAATACAATTTTGCTTTAATGCTCTATTTTCCTAAATATAATGAACTAAAGTAATGATGATAGAAAATTAAGTAGACCTGCTTAAAATTTATAAAAAGTTAAAAAATAGGAAGAATTCAAGAGTAAAGAAAGCCATCTGGACTGGACCTGAAATTTTCTTTTTGGAAGATTTTTAAAATCACACATTCACCTTCTTTAAACAGATGTATGATACTGAGATTTTTTTCTATTTTTTATCAATTTTCATAAATTGTGGTTTTCTTGGATTTATCCATGTCATCTCTATTTTCAAATTTATTAGCATAAAGTTGCTCATAATATCCTCTTATCTTTTTACAGCTTTATTGAGGTATAATTGATATACACAAAAACTGCATATACTTAATGTATACAATTTGATGAGTTTGGACACATATACGCACCCATACCACCATCACCACAATCAAGGTAATAAATATACCCATCAACCCCTGAAGTTCCTTGTGTCTCTGTGCTTTAGTGTGTGTGTGTGTGTGTGTGTGTGTGTGTGTGTGATCATGTATCATGAGATCTACTCTCCTCAATGTTTAAGTGAAAACACTGTATTATTAACCACAGGCACAATGTTGTACAGCAGATCTCTAGAATTTATTCATCTTGTATAATGGTGACTTTATACCCACTGAGCAACAACTCTCCATCTCCCCCTTCTCTCCTTCCCTGGCAACCACCATTCTATTTTCGGCTTCTAAAAGTTTGACTATTTTAGATTTCTCATATAAATAAAATTATGCAATATTTGTTATTTTTTGACTAGCTTATTTTACTTTGCATAATGTCTTCCAGGTCTACCCATGTTGTTAACAAATTTCCTTCGTGTTTAAGGCTGAATAATATTCCATTATATATACAGTGCCACATTTTCTTTATCCATTTATCTGTCAGTAGACAATTGGGTAGTTTCCCAACACAAATGCCTTGGCTGTTGTACATAATGCTACAATGAACATGAGAATGCAGATATGTCTTTGAGATTCTGACTCCAATTATTATGGATGTATACCCGGGAATGGGATTGCTGGATAACATGCTAGTTCCATTTTTAATTTCTTTGTGAAGGCTCCATACTGTTTTCCATAGTGACTGCATTTCACATTTCTACCAACAGTGTACAAGAGTTCTGATTTCTCCATATCCTTGCCAACACGTGTTATCTTTAATTTAAATAAGAGCCATTCTAACATTGATTAAGATGTTACCTGGGGGATTGTCATAAGTGGCCTTTATTATGTTGAAATACATTCCTGCTAAACCTAGTTGGTTGAGTGTCTTTATCATGAAGGATGTGGAATTTTATCAAATGCTTTCTCTGTATCTATTGAGATGATCATGTGATTTTTATCTTTCATTCTGTTAATCTGGTGTGTCACATGTATTGATTTGCGTATGTTAAAATATCCCTGCATCTCAGGGATAAACCACACTTGATCACGGCATGTGATCTTTTCACTGTGTTGTTGCATTTAATTTGCTAATATTTTGTTGGGAATTTTTGTATCTTTACTCATCGGAAATAGTGACCTGTAGTTTTCTTTTCTTGTAGTGTCTTTGTCTGGCCTTGGTATCTGGGTAATACCAACCTCATAAAATGAAGTTGGAAGTATTTGCTCCTCTTCAATTTTTCGGAAGAGTTTGAGAAAAAATGGCATTAATTCCTCTTTAAGTGCTTGATAGAATTCACCAATGACATCATCTAGTCCTGGGCTTTTCTTTCTTGGGAAGTTTTTGATTGCTGATTCAATCTCCTTACTCATTATTGGTCTGTTTAGATTTTCTGTTTCTCCATGATTCAGTCTTGGTAGGTTGTATGTTTATAGGAATTTCTCCATTTCTACTACGTTATGCAATTTCTTGATGTATAATTGTTCATAGTAGTCTCTTATGATCCTTTTTATTCATGTGGTGTCAACTGTAGTGTTTCCATTTTCATTCCTAATTTTATTTATCTGAGTCTTCTTTCCTTTTTTGTTAGTTAAGTCAGTCAAGGGTTTTGCCAATTCTATTTATCATTTCAGAAAACTAATTCTTAGTTTTGTTGATTTTTTTCTATTGTTTTTCTAGTTCCCATTTTATTTATTTCTGCTCTAATCTTTACTAACTTTCACTAACTTTGGGTTTAGTTTGTTCGTCTTTCTCGAATTCCCTGAGGTGTAAAGTTAGGTTGTTTATTTGAGACCTTTCTTCTTTTTTAAGGCAGGCATTTTTCACTATGAACTTCCCTCTCATTACTGTTTTTGCTGTACTCCATAGTTTTAGTATGTATTGTTTTCATTTTGTTTCTCTCAAGGTATGTCTTGATTTCTCCTCTGACTCATCGAATGTTCAGGAGTGCATTGTTAAATTTCCACATTTTTGTGAATTTTCTAATTTACCTTCTGTTGTTAATTTCTGATTTCATACCATTGTGGTCAGAGAAGATATTTGATATGATTTAAATCTTAAATATGTGAAGACTTATTTTGTGGTCTCATATGTGATCTATCCCAAAGAATGTTCCGTATGTGCTTGAGAAGAATGTGTATTCCTCTGCAGTTTGGTAGAATGTACTACATCAAGGGAGTCCAATCTTTTGGCTTCGCTGTGCCACATTGAAAGAATAATTGTCTTGGGCCACACATAAAATACACTAACAATAACAATAGCTGTTGAGCTAAGAAAAAAATTGTGACAGATCTCATAATGTTTTAAGAAAGTTTATGAATTTGTGTTGGGCTGCATTCAAAGCCATCCTGGGCTGCATGTGGCCTGTGGGCCACGGGTTGGACAAGCTTGCTCTACATATATCCATTAGGTCCATTTGGTGTATAGTGTGGTTCAAGTCTGATGTTTCCTCATTGATTTTCTGTCTGGATGTTCTATCCATTGTTGATTTGATGTGTTGTAAAATGTCCATTAGATTTGTTTTAATCATGTGTGATAAAATACATGGGCACAGAAATGACTATCATGAAGGAAGATTTTTGTATTAATATCTACAGTTCCATAGAAGCAGAAGGCACAGCATGCCACAGAGAAATACATGGGGAAGCAGCAGGGTCAGTCAGGAGCAGAGGGAGTGAGGGGGAAACATGGGCAAGAGTATTGTGTTGGTTGTGTGTGTGTGTGTGTATGTGTTTGTGTGTGTGTATGTGTGTGTGCATGTGTGTGTATGTGGAAAGAGATGCCAAGGCAGGGTAAGTGTGCTAAGTAGGTTTATGATTGGCTAATTGGAATAATTTCAGCAGGCTCTAGGGAGAAGGGCCGCCCCTGGTTGTCAGAAACCTGGACCTGGGGTGATTGGAGCAGGGAAATAATGGCAAGGCATGTGAGAGCTCAACAAAGGGGGTTGTTGAACTGGTTTATTTGCATATGAAAGGAACCCTTGCAGGTAAGTTCTTCACTATGTCTAGGAATTGGGTAGCCCTAAGAGGAAAAGTCTATTCAGGATCAGCCCTAAGAGAGGGAAGTCTCTGAGATGGGAAGGCTCTCTAAGATCAGCAAGGCCCCAGATGCCAAAATGTTAGAAAATAAAAAGGCATGATTAATACATATCTGATAGATTTGTAGCAGCATCAAATTTTTTTAACTCCTAATATTGGTATTTGTGCCGTCTCTCTTTTTTTCTTGCTTATTATTGCTATTGCTTAGCGTTTATCAATTTTATTGCTCTTTTAAAAGAACAAACATTTGTCTGTGTACTAATACATTCCCAACTTTTTATGGCATAAATTAATGGCTACTTGAATTCCATCTGGTGGAGTATGAACTCTAGCACAGTGAGTAATAATGAGTCACTTTTATTGGATACCACTGAATGCAGGACTTTACTGTGATCACTGTGTGGGCAGTGATAACAACTCAGAAATAACATGCAGAGATAACAACCTCATCCTCCGCTCTTCTCATAGACACACAGAACCTTTAGAAATTCATCACTGTGGCAATGTCTTCACAGAGTGGTCCTTGGAGAACCAGCATAAGAATCACCTGAGGACCTTGTTAAAAACTCAAATTCTACATCCCCACCTCAGACCTACCAAATCAAACATACAGCTAGTAATATGCATTTTTGGAAAAATACCTTAGTGAATCTTTTGTAAGATAAAAGTTTTAGAATCATAAAAATTTCAGAATAAGAAATCTAATGGAAAAGGCACAGACCTCACAATTTGAGTTTGCCTTATTTAAATGAGAAAGATATGACATGGCCATATAGGAAAATGCACATAAGTGTTTGCAGAAATCCCATTGCTAGGAACTACATCATGGTTCTGAATCTATTGCCAATCCTCTGACCTTGGCCACCTTGCTGGCCTCCACATCCCTGGGGTGCTTGGTACAAATCTTATTTGTCAAGTTCAAATGGCTGAAGCTTTAAAAACTGCAATCAGAAAGCTGAGGCTGCTGGATCTGCTTCAAGTTCCCCAATCAAGAGTCTCAATTTTAATCCTGGAAGCAATTGATTATAAAGAAGCCTAACGAGATCTGAGTTTTAGTGGCCTCCATTAATTACCTAAATGGAGGGTGAGACTTCACTTGGACAAGGACTGGCACCAAATCCTGCTTCAGCCTTTTAGAGCTGGCTCATAAATCAGAGGATAAGACCAAAAAGAATTTTAAAATTGGACAGAATCATGATCCCATCCAAGAGCCATTTTTATATAATCCTATCCCTGCTTGGTAATTACTAGGCTATGACAATTAATTACTTGCTTTGGATTAAAACCCATTCAGTGCTAGATGGATCATATTTTAGTCTGGTAAGATAAATTGTACTACATTTTACCTGTGCAGAGGTATCAGTAGATGGAGAATGATAAGCTGAACAAAAATGGTTTATTAAAAATAGTCCAGGGACAATTAGTACCTAAACAGCCTGCAGATTCTTTTTTAAAAGGGGTTTTTACTGACTCATAGAGAGCTGGAGTTTCTAAAGTCTTTACAAAAGAACAGCTTCATTCAGCTTCTATATTGAGAACATAGAAATAGTAGTTAGTGCAGGCAAGTCCAGTTTTCAGAAAACTTGAAATGTAGAAACTCAGATTTGCAAACTTTGTAAATAAGGGGATACTCATTACAAAGCTGGGCTGGCTTCCTACCCAGCTCCTGTTCCCTGTAGATATATTCACTAAGCCATTTTCCTGCTGAATCTTGAAATAATGCATGTGGGGGGATTTCAAGAGCCCTCTTATGTCTCCAAACCATATCCTATAACCACCCTTATGCCTCAATCTAGTAATAATAGCAACAACATTTATTAAGCCCTTAGTAGTTACCAAATAATATTTTCAATAATTTTAGGCTTTATTTCATTACATCCTCACAATAACTCTATGAAGTAGGCACTATTATCATCTGCATTTCACCTAGGAGAAACTGAGGCTCAAAATAGCTAGTTAACCTTCCCAGGATCACTGTATCAGTTCTATTGCTGTGTAGCAAACTACCCCAAACCTACTAGATTAAAAGAATAAACATGTATTTGGCTCATAATTCTGTGGATCAGCAATTTTGGCTGGGCTCAGCTGGGTGGTTCTAGACTTGCATGAGGTCTCTGTGGCATGTGTAGTCAGATGCACATCAGATGTGCTCATCTTGACTGGGTTCTTACACAAGTCCGGAGCCTTAGGTGGAACAGCTGAGCTGACTTGTCTCTGCCCCTGTAGGCTAGTGCAAGCATGCTCACATGGCAGCTAAACAGGATTCCAAGAGAGGAAGCTGAGGTATGCAAGTCCTCTTGGGCTGTAGGTTAGAACTGGCACCGCATCACAATTCTGCCCCTTTCTTTTGCCCACAGCATGTCACAGGCTAGCCCAGATTCAAAAGATAGAAAAATAGATTCCTCCTCTTGATAGAAAGAACTGCAAAATTACATTGCAAAGAATGAGAATATAGGGAGGTGTGGAGAATTGAGGCTATTTGGGTTTTTTTTTTTTTTTTTTTTTTTTGGCCATCCATCTACCTGGTTATATAATCGGTCAATTGTAGAGCCAACATTCAGGGGATCCCTTGACTGCACAGCCAGCACCCCGACCACTTTGCCATACTGCCTTCATAACAATGGTTTATCTTCTTTCTGTAACTGGGCCTTGGTTTTACTATTTGAATAAACCCTCTACTTTAGTTAACCTGCTGCTATTCCAATTTTTCCAGGTCTTTAGATCTGCCTGCTTTTGACCTTTGCCCCAATGCCATTCTGCATTAGAGCGCTGCTGGACTCTGCTAAAAGACCTACCCAAAGATGACGGTCTTCCTGCCAAGGGCTATGCCCTGTGATTGGCCCAGACAACCTACTTTGCCATGTGTCACCAAATTCCTTGCATATACTGCTCTGTCACCTCCCAGCACCTCCACAATTTGGCCTAGCACTTCAATGCACTTGTTCACTTATCCATGGATTCGACCCTGTCTACCACTGAGCAGCTCCTATAGTCTTTCACTTCGAAAAGTGATCCATTGTAACAATCTTCTAAATGACTAGTGCCACCCCCTGTTTAAAACAGGATTGTATTTCCTAAAACTCAATATGCAAAGTTTCTGAAACATAGCTACTGCATTGAGTAAGACCCACTGTTAACTGTGAATTCAACTCGAAATTTTTCTCTCCTCTTTGGAGTCAGGCATTGTAGCCAGCCATAGCTCCCTATCCCTGACCTTACCCTAGTTGCTCCTTTTATACCTTTTATACCACACCAGGACTGCCTCTACATTCTTCCCTGAACCCTGCTGTGGCTAAGAATCACGCGGCTGTAACCACTGGACAAGGGATCTCATTATCCTCAAGATAGTGTATTAAAACCAGATATTTATCTGTAGTTGGTGTATTTGCTTTTTTGCAGACACTGTTAGTTTTGGAAACTTTAAAAAGTAAATTGTTAGACACATTGAGACAGAGCAGAGCCATGGTAGGTCAACCACTTCACTGAGTATGTCACCTTTGACAAATTGTTTCTCTGTTCAGCACTTCAGTTTTCTCATCTACACACGGAAATTATTAGATTAGATGATTGCTCAAGTCTCACCAAGTTTTAACATTTTCTTTCTTTTTCCCTCCCTTCCTCCCTTTCTCTCCCTCTCCCTCTCTTTCTTTCTCTCTCTCTCTTTCTCCCCTTCTTTCTTTCTTTCTCTCTCTCTTTTTCTTTCTTTCTTTCTTTCTTTCTCTCTCTCCCTCTCTTTCTTTCTCTCTCTCCCTCTCTTTCTCTCTTTCTCTCTTTCTCTCTTTCTCTCTTTCTCTCTCTCTCTCTCTCTTTCTTTCTTTCTTTCTTTCTTTCTTTCTTTCTTTCTTTCTTTCTTTCTTTCTTTCTTTCACTTCTTTCTTTCTTTCTGTCACCCAGGCAACTCCAGTGCACACCACTGGAGTATAGCCATATGAACTCACTGCAACCTCTGCCTCCCAGGTTCAAGCCTTCCTCCCACCTCAGCCTACCCAGTAACAGGGACTATAGGCATGAACCACCACACCCAGCTAATTTTTGTTTGTTTGTTTGGTAGAGACAGGGTTTCACCCTGCTGCCCAGGCTGGTCTTGAACTCCTGGGCTCAAGTGATCCACCTGCTTCAGCTTCCCAAAGTGCTGGGATTGCAGGAGTGAGCCACGATGCCCAGCAGTTTTAACATTTTCTGATTTGAAATATTTGTTCAGCACCTACTATATACATGGAAGGATCAGAGTCAGCAGCAGAGGAGCTACTTGAGTACAACACAGGACATCAGGTCACCCTAGCAGGAATGTTCATAAAGCCATTAGCCTGCAGCATGTCTGAGGCCATACTATGCACCCTTGCTCATATCCTGATTAATCATCCACATCCTGTGATAATGCCCCACAACATCTGCAGTATTGCAGGTAATATTTCTGAATTCTTCCCATTGCAGATTCCAGTTGCAAATAACAGAATCCTCTCTGTCTCAGCATTTTTAAGCCAGGGTATGTCTACCACTCTTCCCAAGACATGAATAGTTTTAAGGGAATCAATTGGTATAATCTCATTTTCCATATGTACTTTCATAAAACTGTTCTACTTGGAGTTGGGGTGTTTTGTTGGTTTTCTATTTCTACCTTCTCATTGAAAACTGTTAATTACTTTTCAAAAGAAAATCATAACATTTTATTAATTTTATTTGAGCATAAAAATACATAACATTAATTAATTAATTAAATGTTATACACCAATCCTATGGTGCATTGATCTAGGATTTAGAAATTTCCAGGGTATCAATCAAAGTACAGTTTCCAATATTTGTGTCAAGGAATCTCCTTGATCCAAGGAATATCAAGGCTGGTACTTCTTATATTGCATGTACATCTATTAAGGAATGACTATGGCATTAGAAACAGGCTTTTGGCCTGTGTTGAGGTGCCCTCTTACATCGTAGACTGGGGAGAAATGTTATAATGACCTCACCACCTGTAACTCTTCACTCTTGGTAAAGAATGTATCAATACTTATGGAAAGTGCATATATTATAGACTAGGGAGAAGTGTTATAATGATCTCACCACGTGTATTTCCTGACTCTTGGTAAAGGATGTATCAATTTTTATGGAAAGCAACCTAAGGACAAAACAAAAAGCCTATACATAAGAGCTGGGGAAGCTGGAGGCATCTGATTTCACCCAGGTGGCAAGCTCTCAGCGAGGATGCATGCTTTATCCTATCTGCCCTTCTATCTTGGACATAGAATTCAGAAGTTAAATGGCTGTCGTAGGAATGCATAATAACATGCTTATTTGAATTGAAAAATGGAGTCAGAGTATTTCTGACAGAAATTAGGTCTGACTTGGCTCATTAATTTGACCGTGAACACTGGCTTTGTCAATTAGGATATATGGCAGGCATTTTTCATAAATTGAATGAGCTTAATCTGCAGCTCTAAGATTTTGAATAAAAACATTATGTAAATTACATCATAAAAGTATTTTACCACAAAAAATGCATTGGTAAAAGTGTATTGAAATTAAGAATATTTTTTATTCCTCCAAACCTTTCTGAATTATGAGGTTAAATACAGTTTCTTTAAGTGAAAGAGAAACAGCTATAATTAATAGTCATTTGTAAGTCTGGAAATGATTGCCCAGCAATTGAGAAAGTGGATGAATCTGATGACTCGGCAACAATTTTCTTTTTTACCCCCCTTTACAGATTAGGAGATTCTTACTTTTTTGTTTAAAAAACTGAAGGAAAACCAGTAGAATTTTTCAATAGTCATTAAAATAATTTTAAGAGCCATTTTATTTTAGGAAGGCATTCAGAGAATTGAATGACACTGCTATGACAAAATTCCTTTCATTCCCATCTACTTATTTATGTAAATAAAGTTTTTTAGTGGTTACATATATAAAAATTAAAAATGAAATAGAATTGATGATGAAACTCTCTCATTCTAGTAGCAGTAACATTCATTCATGTGAACATAACCTAAATGGAAAAAACTAGCTTCATTCATCTCATTGAGAGAAATGTTTCCAATAGCATCAATTTTTATGTTTAATAATTACTTATTTAATGTGTAATGTATTTATACTCTTTTGATTAATTATATATACTAATAATTGTAATAATAACAATATATAGGTAAATTCTAGAACTTGAGGATTTTTATGATCACAGAAAATATCAAACAATTAAAATTTCATTTTATAAACTTTTTTTGGCAATGAAATATATTAGGGCTAACAATACAAATATTTGAGCATAAAATACATACTTATGAGGACATAATTTATGGTAGATATGAAATGGAAATATAAACTCAAGGAGGAAATATAAACATTATACCATTTCTAACTGTTAAGGAGGACTTTGTGTACTTTTAAAAGTGAACAATTAAGGATAATAAATCACCATGGTAGCTAGATTCCATTGGATACATTTAAAAGAATGATGGGGCTATTATATTTTGAAATCTCAATGCAACATTTACAATATGCTAGAAATTACATCCTTTTTATTTTATTTATTCTATTAAAATTTATAATAAAAAATGTAGTTGTCCACTTAAAGATATGCAACTGGGTCCATGTTCTCTTCAAATCCAACCAGGTCAGATTGCCAAATCCAGATTCTCATTGCCTTGGAAATCTGTTGTCTGCAGCCATTTCTGGTGCCCAAACCAGAACTGATCCGGGTTTGGGTGCATGCAAGAGATCCACATTAGGTAGTGTCACCAGCAAGGGACTTGAAGCAGGGGATTTGGTGCTCCCAAAATTGTTTGAAAGGTCAAGAGAAAATACTCTAGACTGAGCATCCAGTTGTTTCTGCAGAGCCACTTTATCCTGTTGCAGCAACTGATAGATCAGAAAACTCCTAACACTGTCACTTATTGAATGAGCATCTAACCTGACATGACCAGGAAAGCTATACTACTGCTCTAAAATTATGCCACTTCTACCACAATCCCCACCAGCAAAAGAGACTCCCCACACCCTTCCTTTTCTTTCCATGTCTCTGGGTTGCACAAATTCACCTAATTGGTGGAGCCTAAACATAGCTGGAACTCTAACTCTAAGGTGGTGCAGAAATTATTGTTTCTAGCTTTTCAGCATTTATGTAATGGGAAGGGTTGTAATGGAGGCAAGTGAACCACCATACTATCTTCCATAAGTAAGGACTTTCTTATGCATAGAAGAAAAGGGGACTCCTGATATGTTATTCAGGGGATTCCAGATGGGATCAGGGAATTCCCAAATCTGTCTGCTGCTTGTCACACTGCCTGTCAGCCCATAATGGAGCACTATTATTGATGCTTTCCATAAGCCCCTTATTAACATGTAAACATTCCTATAAGATTGAACAGATAAAGGTCTAATCCATTATTAACACCTACACAAATGTCAGTTACCAGTTGATTGAGAGAGAGGTATGTGGTGGGGAGTGGGGAAGAACCCTAGAAGATGGTAGGATGTCTAAGTAGGAGGCAAAAGACTATCAAAGGCAAATTGCTCACCTACACAAATGAGCTCCTGGACATTTCTGACTTCTTTTCGAACAGAAAGGCCAGTTGTGCTGTGACAAGGATGTACATAACAGAGAGGCAAGATAGCAAGCACAACGAAAGTTTCTCCTGTCTCCCAGCAAGCCCTGGCTCTCCAGCTCTCTCCCAGCAAACAAATGCAAGGCAGAATTCAGAATACAAATGTCTTCTGATGTATCCTTCTCCAAGGGCAGGAGGACTGTAGAGATTCACATATCGATTGGGAGCATAATAATGCAATAAAAAATTCAAAGACAAGCCAATTTCTCAGTGTTTGCAAGGACTGGCAAGTCCAGCAAGGTTATTGATGAAGAAATTAAGCAGAATGCAACGCAGCCTGCTCCAGCCTCAACTCTCTCATAAAAAAATCTACACCAGAAGCATTTCTCACATGACGTCAGCATGCTCCAGTAAAGGTGTACACTCCTGGTGGTTTTTGCTAGACGGATACTGATTGCATTCCAAGGGATGCTGTGGTGACAAGGAACACGAAGTCTAGGTTCTGGTCTAAAATCTGACACTACATTGCTGTGTTACCTAAAACAAGTCACTTGACAACTCTGGGTTTCCGTTTCTTCATTGGTAAGGCAGAAATAATAATATTAATCTTGCTTGCCTCCTAAAGAAAATGGCCTTAACTCGAGGTCCAAGGATAAGTTTCAGGCATTGTTGGAGCCCCCTGAAATTATAGACAAACTTTTACATTTAGATGGATATACTGAAGATAATTTCCCACATAATTCTAAACTGGATAATCATATGCAGGAGGAAAAGGGGTCCATGGCTCTTTTAAAAAAGTTAACAACTAATGGCCAAGAGAATCAATGGAAATAAGTTAATCGGTGAGAACTGCTCCACAAACTCTTGAAGAAAATAAGAATATTTCATTCAAGTTTACAAATAATAGCCAAGACCCACTTGCCTTATTAGTACAGTATGTACCATCTCCCTTCTGGGTTTTTCTGTCCTATTTGTGTCCCAAATTTGCAGTTTTTACTTGCTAAGATTTTTCAGTTCATATATACAACCACCTCTCAGATCACCAAATGATTTTAAGAATCCAGACTGGGTTATCCCACTTTATGGGCCCCTCACAGTTCCAAGGATCCACACCACTGGTCAGGCAAGTTTCCTTTTAGACCTTAAAGTCCATTTTCACTCCCTTTTCTTGGTTATTCTAACTAATCACCTGCAACTCTAAGGGAGGCTACTCTTATGACACTAGAGAACTCTAAACTGGTCTTTGGAGGAAGCTTACGCTTGATGTAATTTCTCTTTGCTGTTAGATCTGACATAATTACATAATTGAAGCTGCCTCTCCCTTCTAAACCAGACCAATTATGATTTCTTTATTTGCAATAAGATGCAATTTAGGGCATCAAGAAAGGGAATTATCCAAGAATCTCATCTTCCCTTTACCCTCAGTTAGACGCAGAGTTCATGCAGTCTCTGGATGCTGCTCATGATTCTTTCGGCCCTGTCTAGGCGTGGATGGATTCACTCGGTCACCGAGGTCGCCTTTCTACTCTGGTGATTATAAACAGGAAATGATAGCAGAATTACTCATAAGCTTTAGCCAAAGCTTTGTTGGGCTTAGGCTGCTGTTCCAGCAAATTCAATGTATGTCTTGACCCTTTGGTAAGACTATTTCTGGGATAAAACTTTTTGGCTCATGGCAAAATTTGCTCAACATTTACTCCTTGACCAAGTCAATGTACGCCTCTATCCAGGATAATTGCCATTAAAATAGACATTTCATTTATTTGGAACACAGAGACAAGTCTCTACCTAAATGAATTTTGGATATATACCTCTCAACAAGAGACCTAGAAAGGTTCTTAAGCAAAGACTATATTATTAAGTATATTGAAATTTATACAGCAGTGTAAACATACTGATATCAGTGAGCTTGGTTAGCTTCTAAAGAGCCAAAGCCACAATTAGCCAATAACAGCAGAGAAAATAAATATATGTCAACTTCCAGGAAGTTTAGTACTCATGTGAAGATTCTTTCTATGACCCCTCTTTTAATCCCCTTTCTGGTTTGTAGCCTGCTTTAGTGATTTTAAGGTGAGTTCATGTCACACCTCTTATCAGTTATTTTACGTATATATACAACACACACATACTATATATACATGTAAAATAGATAAAAACTTTATGTGTGTGTATGTTTGTGTGTGATCCTTGGAAATAAACTTTTTATCTTTTTAGGTACCCATAGAATATTTATAAAATAACTCTATATTAGAACAGTTGATTCAAATAAGACACAATTAGAGCTGTAATCAAATACCATTCTCTGATACTAATGCAATACATCTAGAAATGTACAATAAAATAAAAAATTTAATTTTTTTCATTTAAATAATTCTGAACTAAAAAAGAAAATTTCAGAACTGACAATTGTGTAGAATATGAAGATATATGATAACATATGAGACATAGCTAAAGCAGTGTTCAGAGGAAACTTTTAGCCTTCAATATATTAATAATTGAGATCAAATGAAAATAAATAAAGGTCCCAGTCACAAGTATTGAAAAATATCAAAATAAACCTAAACATTACATATTGAAAGAAAAATTTAATATAAAACAGAAACATAAATTTAAAATAGAAAAACAAAAAATAATAAAATTAATAAATTACTTTATTAACTAATTGTTTGAAAAAATGCGAAATTAAATAAACTGTCAGCTATCTTAGTCCAAAAAAGTGGGGGTAGGCACAAATATGGAAACAAATCACAGTATGAAACGGTCACTGTAAAGAGGCAGCCCAATGCACTATATTTCCAAGCAGTACCATCTTTGTATCTAGGGGTAACCACATGACTAATTCTAGCCAATGGCACATGAGCAGAAGCGATATGTGTGTGTAAAAGGATTTGCACCAGCAATTCACAAAAAAGAAGTGCAAATGGTTTTAAAACAATTGAAACAACGCCTAATCTCACTTAATATAAATGTTAATTTAAACTACTACAACAAAATGTACTACTTTTCACCACCCACATTGTCAGATATCAAAACATTTGACAATTGTAAGAATAATTACTAGTAATTATAGAACATGTACTATGTGCCCGGCACTGATGCAAATACTTAACACATCTTTAGTGCTCACAGTAACTCCATGAGGTGAATCTCATTATTACCCCCTTTTACAGATGAAGGAACTAAAGTACAGATAATTTAGTAACTTGCCTATGGGCTCATATGATATTGGCAAGTGTGTGGAAAATGGTCATTTTCATGCACTGCAGTGGAAATGCACATTGCAAAAGGCAACTTGGCTATATCTACTGAAATTACAAATGTGTATATTTTCGACCCAGCAATTCTGTTATGAGGACCATACCTTACAGATCTACTTACTGATTGGGCAATGTTCAGTGTACAAGACATTAACTGCAATGTTGTTTTTAGAAGAAAAGCCTTCAAATAAGAACATTGAGAAGAGTTGGGATGGCTACTCAGGGCTGCAGCTGGTATAAAGCTGTCTCTGTTCTATGGCTGGAGGACACAGAGGAGAGCACACAGCAACACCTGCACTGCAGTATCTCCTGCTAATATCATACTTCATAATGAGAAACCACATACTTTCTCCTTAAGATGGAAAACAAAGAAAGGATGTCTTCTCTCATCAGTCCTATTCAGCATGTACTAAAAGTCCTACTTTGTGCAAAAAAAAAAAAAAAAAGTAACAAAATGTATACAGATTGGGAAAGAAGAAATAAAATGGTCTTTGAAAAAAACACCTATAATCAGGAGCTTTTTGTTGATTCCCAAAAAACCAACAAAAAAAATTATTGATTACAGCAAAGTCACAGCATACAAAGTTAATATATAAAAATCAATTACCTTCCTGTACACCAGCAATGAACCAATTGAAATTTAATATTAAAAATGCAATATCACAATACCACCCTAAAAATGAAATACTTAGGTAAATATGTGTATAATCTATTTGCAGAAAACTATAAAACTCTGATGAAAGAAATACAAGATCTAACTAAATGGAGAGATATTCCATGTTCATGGATTGGAAGATTCAATATAGTTAAGATGTCAATTCTTGATAACACCTGACTTGATCTATAGATCCAATACAGTCCCAATCAAAATTCCAGCAACTTATTTGGTATATATTGTCAGACTAATTCTACAGTTTATAGAGAAAGACAAAAGACCCAGAATAGACACCATGATACTAAAGAAGAACAAAGTTGGAAGACTGACACTACCAGAATTCAAAACTTACTATAAATCCACAGTAATCAAGACAGCGTGGTATTGGTTAAAGAACAGACCCATAGATCAATGGAACAAAATAGAGACCCCTAAAATAGATTCACACAAATTTAGTCAACTAATCTTTGAAAAAGGAGCAAAGGCAATTCAATGGAAAAAGGATAATTTTTTCAACAAATTGTTTTGCAACAATTGAACTTCTAAATGGAAAAAACAAAAAAAGTCTAAGCACTGATTATACCTTTTACAACAATTAACCCAAAATGAATGATAGAACTAAATATGAAATGTAATACTTTAAAACATCTAGAAGAAAACATAGGACAAAAATCTATGTGGCCTTGAGTTTGCTAATGAGTTTTTAGACTCACTAAAAGCATAATTCATTGAAAGAAAGAGTTTAAATTAGACTTTATTAAAATTAAAGGCTTTTACTCTAAAAACGACACTGTGAAGAGATCAAAGATAAGCCATAGACTGGAAGGACTTATTTTTAAGCCATATACCTAATATGGGATTTGTATCCAAAATACATTAAAAACTCTTAAAATTCAACAGTAAGAAAACAATCCCATATTTAAAATGGGCAAAAGATCTGAACAGACATCTCACCAAAAAAGATGGCAAATAAACATATGAAAAGGTGTTTAATATTATTTGTCATTAGAGAATTGCAAAGTAAACCAACATGAAATGACACTGCGTGCCTATTAGAGTGGCTAAAATAGAAAATATTGACAATATTAAGTGCTAGTAAGGTTGTAGAGCAACATGAACTCTCATTCATTGTTGGTGGAAATACAAAATAGTACCACCCCTTTAGAAGAGAGTTTTGCAGGTTTTTCTGTAGAGCTAAACATAGTCTTATTATACAATACAACAGTCACAATCCTAGGCATTCATCCAACTGATTTGAAAACTTATGTCCACATAAAAGCCTGTATGTGAATGTTTACAGCAGCTTTACTCATAATCACTGAAAACTGAAAGCAACCCAAATGTCCTTCAATAGGTAAATAGATAAACTGTGGTACATCAATACAATAGCAATAAACAGGAATAAACAAGCCAAGCAAAACATGTATGGATTAAAAGCACATTGTTAAGCTTATAAAGCCAATTTTAAAAGCCTACATAATATATGATTCCATTTATATGACATTCTGGAAAAGGCAAAACTATAGAGATGGTAAACAGGTCTGTGGTTACCAGGGTTCAGATGAGAGGAAGGATTTGAATAGGTGGAGCTCAGGGAATTATTTTGGGAGTGACTATTATGTATGATGCTGTAATGACAGATAAATAGAACTTGATACAAAGAGTGAACATTAATATACACAAATTAAAAGAAAATTACTTAAGAGGTTGGGAGATCCCATGATGAAATGCAGACTATGAGGAAAAAAAGTCTAATTGTATTACAAATGTGTGAAATACCCTTATTGAAGGGTGCGTTTGGGCAGGGGGAGATGCTGACCTAAGTAACCTTGGAAATGAGTGGAGACTGTAAGACTAAAGGCAAAAGGGATTCTATATAAGCATGGTACTGTAGTCGATAAAGTTGTTTCCCAAGGGGTTATGGGTTCACAATTCTGATACTGGTTGACATGTATACTGGTACTGAACCATTAAGTAATTAGAGGGTGGATATTGGGAGTCAGATTTCTTCCTGTTAGTGTAGGAGATTGCTGACATATAAAGGAGGAAGAATAGAATGATTCATGTGGTGTTAAAGTTGGCAAAATGAGCAAAAAGCCACATTAAGTCAAAGGGACACAGGAGCCAACTGAAGGGCTCCCAATGGCTGGAATATTTTTAGCTTCTTTTTTAAAATTAAACTCTTTGTTTTGAGAAAACGGTAGGTTCAGATGCAGTTCTAAGAAATAAGGCAGAGTGATCCCATGGGTCCTTTGTCTGTTTCCCCCAGTGTAACATCTTACAAAACTATAGTACAACAGTACAATCAGCATATTGACATTGACACAGTCAAGATACGGAACATTTTTATCACAAGTGTCTTTCATGTTGCCCTTTTATAGCCACGTCTATTTCCCTCCTACTCCCATTCTCTCCTTAATTCCCAGCTACCTACTAATTTGTTCTCCACTTCTATAATTTTGTCATTTCAAGAATGCTGTATAAATGGAGTAATATAGTATGTAAACTTCTGAGGTTGGCTTTTTATCGCTCAGCATAACTGTCTGGATATTAATCCAGGTTGCTGGATGTATCAGTTGCCATCCCTTTTTATCACTGAGTAGTATTACATGGTATGGATGCACTACAGCTTGTTTAATCCTCATCATTGAAGGACATCTGAGTTGTTTTCAGTTTGGAGTTGCTATAACCATTTATGTACAGGTTTTCATGTAAACCAAAGTCTTCATTTCTCCGGGATAAATGCCCAGAATTGAAATTGCTGGGTTATATGACAGCTGCATGTTTAGTTTTTAAATAAATTGTCAAGTTATTTCCCACAGCAGCTGTATTATTTTATATTCCCACCAGCAAAATATGAGTCATCCAGTTCTCTGCATCCTCAAGCTAGAACAATTTGAGCAACAAATTCACCCCAAACTGTAACCAGAGAGTCCAAGAGCTGATTGTGGTAGTCGATACTGGTGGGCCTCCCAGAGCAAAGAGCAAGGTGGAAAAGGATAGTAGGTATCCAAGTAGCACACAAAAAATATCCAGCACAGAGAAGTTGTGTCAATCACCTGAAATGTTCATCACAATCCACTGCATCCCTGGACATCAGACATGGCTTTTAACTTCAAGAAGTTTACAGTTTCAGGTTAGGGATAAGATATATGCGTGAATATAACCATCATCAAGGCAGGAGGTAATCAGAGTCACAAGAGAACCCCATGAATCAAAAAGTGGCAGATTAGAGGAGACATCATGATGAACATATCAGATGAATCAAACCTTGAAGAATCACTAGACTCTGCCTTGCCTATCAGGAAGGGAACACATTCACATACTTATGGTTAGCTTACAAGAATAATTCCCTAAATCTGCTTTGCATGTATGGTTTATAAATATTTTCACACTCATATCTTATTTGATCACCATTTTATGTAGATAGTGTGTATCAGTCAGATATTGATATATAACAAACCACCTGAATGCAATTCTTATGCTAACGACCCAGAGTTACATCAAATTTCACAGATAAAGAGCATAGTCTTCCAAAAGACTACTTCACTTCAGACACCATCAGCAAACTCCAGGGTTCCCAGACCATTCACACTTCTGATCAACTGGCTACAAATTCAGGGATTCCCCCTACCCTCTCAAGTGCAAGAATTTGCTAGAATAACTCATAAAACTCAGGAAAACACTATACTTATAACTATAATTTTATTATAAACAATACAATTTTGGGACCAGCCAAAGGAAGAGACTGATAGGGTAAGGTCTGGAAGGGTTCCAACCATGTAACTTCTGTGTCCTCAAGATGTTACTCTCCTGTCACATTGATGTGTATCACCAGCCAGGGAAGCTCACCAGACCTTTGGTGTCCAGAGTTTTCCTCGGAATTTCATTACATAGGCATAATTGATTGACTCATTGGCCACATGATTAAACTTGATTTCCAGACCCTCTCTTTTATCAGAAGATCAGGCAGATATCACCAAAGCTCCAACCCTTTGATTACATGCTTGGTCTTTCTGGTATGACCAGACCCCATCCTGAGTCATCTCATTAGCATAAATTTACCTGGGATCCAAGGGACCCACCATGAATAACAAAGACACTCCTATCACTCAGGAAATTCCAAAAATTTAGAGATTCTCTCCCAGAAATGGGAAATAAACTAGCTAAATTTTCAGTTATAAAACGTCACTTCAATACTCAGTAGTTTAAAACAGGAGTTATTTATTCTCACACACCTATAGCTTAGCTGATCTAGGATAAGCATGACTGGGCCCAGCTTCAAGCTATGGTAGGGTCCAGGTCAACTCTATATGTCTCTTACCTTTGAACCAGGAGATGAGATAGGACCTATTCATAGAAGAATCAAAAGAGGACAAGCCCAAAGCTTCAAGCACAGTACAAGCCTCTGCTTGCATCATGTTCACTAACATCCCACTGGCCCATAAAGTTATCTAGCTTAACTCAACATCAAAGGAGGTGGGGAAGTATGTTCCACTTATAATTGGAGGTGCAAAGGGGCAAATATTTCCTGAAAAATAATCTGAACTATCATATAAGAGAAATATTATGTACTCTTTTAGCCCCTTTGTGGCAGAAGCTGTGTGCTAAAGATGATTTCTAAATATCCAGGACCACCATACTATGCCCCTAACCACTGGCTGTTTATATCTTAAGTGTCCTCCATAGACTAGTATCCCTTGGGCTTGAGGCTTTGATGAAACCAAAATGGGTCATATATTAGTCTGTTACCAAGTCTTCACAAATAAATGTTTACCAAAGTAATTAAACTCTCAGCTTATCAGCAAATAAAAAACAGCCATCATTGGAAAAAAGAGCCCACTGATCTTCAACTTGTGGTCTCTCTTTGACTTTCTCCCTTCCTTTTTTCACTCTCCTTTTCACAGTTTGCCCTTAAAATCCTTCTGCTCTCTTGATCTCCAGACATGAATCATGCTATGTAATATGAATGATAATGAGTGATGGTAATAATTGAAAAGATGAAAAATCTGCATTTGTTTCTTATCTAGAAAGATACCAAAACAGCTGCCAGGGAGTGTTCAGAGACTCTACAGCCCATTCCATAATTTATGAATGTGAGAATGCTCCCCATGAACAGCCTGGATGAGTCAGATGTTTTAATTGGGCTGCCTTAAATTTAGAACCAAAGGAGCTTGATTCCTACTCCACTGGGTAGTCTCATGAAGGGTGTTCCAGCCAGAGAGGAGCCAGAGTTGACACTTACATACACAAGTGGGTAGAATAAAGTACAAATGTTGTTAATGTTTGTAAGACACTACATTCTGGTTTTGTTCTTTGATTTTAAGGTTGAAGAATTTTCAGAGAAGCCTTATTAGGGAAGACTTCTCTTTTATATGAAAGTTACCTCATTGTGTCCTCTCCTAGGCAACAATAACTTGAGTGTGAAAATCAGCTGGGATCCCACATTGCTAAGCATTTCTGAAAAGGGATCTTTAATGTGGCACTCCGTAAAAGAGTTAAAAGATTTGTTGAAAAATGACCACATCCATGCTCTGTGAAAAAGAAATATAGGCAATTTATGAATTTTATATTCATGACATAATGTATAACAGGTTTATTCACATTGATTCATTAAGTAAGTGTGGAGTGAGGCATGTGTCTGGTACTGTCCTTGGTGCTGATGCCAGCGACACGAGCAAGAAGAGTTTGTGTCTCACGGAACTACAGCCTAGTGGAGGAGACAGACATTACTCAAGTGTAACTGGATATTAAAATTGAAGTTTCAAATAAGGTATCATAATACATTCCAAAATGAGTTGTCAGATCAACATTTGAGTTTTAAAAGTTTCTGACAAGCCCCTTCCCTAAAGGAGACCAAAAAATGGGCATTGAATAGTTGGAGAAAAGGAGAGGATTTGAAAGGAGGATTTCTTACAAGCGAGCATTGTCATAAGCTTCCCCACAATAAGGAAGGATGAAGGTGCTTTTCTCTTCATCCAAGCCCCAAAAATGAGACCTTTAATGTGACCACTTGGAGATCTGATGTGTATTCCTGCAATTATAGGGAACAGTAATGTATTTCACAGGTCTGAGGACTCTAAAGGTAGCCTAAGCTAGAAGAGGGAGGGAAAAGAGAGAATTGTGCTATTTTTGAAACTAATTGCTCTCCCTTTCAAAAATATGTCAAATGTACAAGAATTCAAGGCATACAAATTTCATGTGTATCAATTATCTATTGCACAAAAATGCTGCATAAAAAACAGCCACAAAACTTCTGTGGTGTAGAACATAAAGGATTTATTTTGATCAAAAGTTTATTGGCCACCTAGGATGTTCTTCTTGTCTTTGCTGGGATTGGCTGATCTTGGCTGATCTTGGCTGGGTTTGCTCCCGCATCTACAGTCAGCTGGCGGGTTTGCTGTAGGCTGGATAGTCCAGAATGGCCCCAGTTAAACAACTCATCTTTCTTCCGTATGGTCTTATTCTTTAGCAGGTTAGCATGGGCTTCTTTATGGGAGTCAGATCCAGTTTCCAAGAGAAACTGTGAAGAAATTGCAAGCACCATGAACAGACTATTGGTGGAAATCTTGACTTTAAGAATGTTGATGGTGAGTGCTGAATAGAAAGTGAGAAACATGTTACTGAAAATGGGAGAAAGGGAGATCCCTGTTATGTACTGGCAAATGCTTATCAAAATTGTATTCTGTAGTCATGTAGAAAACATAACATGTAAGTGATAAATTTGGACGTGTAGCTAAGGAAATTCCCAAGCAAAGTGTTGAAGGTGTTACCTGGCTTCTTTGTATTCCTTATAGCAAAATACAAGATCAGATAGATAAATTGAGGGAAGAACTATTAAACAAAAAGGAATTGGAAAGACTTTGGAAATTCTCAGCCTCTCCAGATGTCAAAAGATGCTAAAAGTCCAAAATGGTTGCTGAAAGTGTGAAGTAGAGAAAAGTCTGAGTTTGTGACTGTATGACCCTTTGCTGAAACCTCAGATCTCATCTAAATATTTCTAGTTGAGAAGGACAATATCAAAAGGTCAAAGTACTCGACTACACAGTAACTTTCCAAGCGATAAAGAGTGTTCTTCACAGATATTCTCAATCAAACCAAAGGGCCTCAAGAAGTTTAAAATCATTGTCCTTCATCCATCTCAGCAGAAGCCAAAATTACATTATCTTGAAAATATTTGTGATGTGGCTCAAGCATAATGGAATAAACCCTTAAGACATCCACAAGAGATTCACAAAGTTCTTGAGAACATTATATCAGCAGAAACACTACCAACTTGATTGAAGTGGACAGAGACAATGCAACACAAAGGAAGGCTTTCAAACCTCCAAATTTCCACTGGTTCAAAGCAGGCTGATAAAACTACTATGCTTCAACCACTTGCTATCTTTTATGAAAAATGAATCACTTATAGGGCAGAACCAAGAACCAGAATGCAGAGCCAAGGGCCCACAGAGCAAAGCCAAGAGCCATGGAGGATTATTCCCAGGGCTTGAAACCTAAACAAGGAATTTTGGCTAAGGTTTTCCTGGCTAAATTTCAAAGCTGCTTTGTACCAGTGACTTCATTTTTGCCTTCCATTCCCCATCTACCAACCCTTTTGAACCAGAATGTCCATAACTATTAATCTACGCATGGTCTTGCCATCATATGTTGAGACAGTTGGGAGCAGATGACTTGTCCCTTTAGTTTCACAGGTCCACAGATGGAGGAGAATTGTAACCCATGAATTTGCATACTCCATGAAATTTCATAAATCATCATCATTTGATTTAAATTTTGAGAATTTAGACTTTGACCAAATGAGATTTATTTTTTTATTGTGGCAAGAATCCTTAACATGAGATCCACCCTCTTAAATGTTTAAGTACACAACTCAATATTGCTAATGATAGACATGATGTTGTACAGCAGATTTCTAAAATGTATTCATCCAAAGAAGACATACAAATGGCCAAGAGGTATATAAAAAATGCTCAGTATCACTAATCATCAGAAATGTGCAAATCAAAACCACAATGAGATATCATCTCTCACTTGTTGGGATGGTTGTTATAAAAACAACAACAGACCAGGCGCTGTGGCTCATGCCTGTAATCCCAGCACTTTGGGAGGCTGAGGTGGGTGGATCACCTGAGGTCAGGAGTTCAAGACCAGCCTGGCCAACATGGTGAAACCCCATCTCTACTAAAAATAAAAAAATTAGCCAGGTGCGGTGGCATGCACCTGTAATCCCAGCTACTCAGGAGGCTGAGACAGGAGGATCACTTGAACCTGAGAGGTGGAGGTCACAGTGAGCCAAGATGGGGCCACTGCACTCCAGCCTGGGTGACAGAGTGAGTCTCCATCTCCTTATAGAGAGAGAAAAAAAAACGACAAAATGTGGAGAAGTTGTAACCATTATACACTGTTGGTGGGAATGTAAAATGGTGCAGCTGCAGCCACTGTGGAAAACAATAGGTAGGTTCCTCAAAAAATTAAAAATATAAATACTATGTTATCTAGCAATCCCACTCCTTCTGGGTATTTATTCAAAATAATGTATATCAATATCTTCTTCAAGAGATATCTACACTTACACGTTTATTGCAGCATTATTAATATTGTAGCCAAGATGTGGAAAGAATCTAAGTGTCTATCAATGGATAAAGAAAATGTAGTACACAAATATACATGGCATATTATTCAGCCTTTAAAAAATAACAAAATTCAGCCATTTGCGACAACATGGGTGAATCTGGAAGACATTACACTAAGTGAAATAAGCCAGCCATAGGACAAATACTGAATGATTCCACTTACATGAAGTGTCTGAAATAGTCAAACTCACAGAAAGAGAGTAGAATAGTGGTCATCTGGGGCCAGAGAGGAGAGGAATATAGAAAGTTGCTGAGCTAATTTGGATGTAATTTTTAATTTGAGTTGATGCTGCAGTGGATTGAGACTCCTGAAGACCTTGGGAAAGAGTAAGTGAATTTAGCACATGGAAGAGATGTGAATTTGGGGGACCAGAGGTGGACTGTGGTAGATAGAATCCTGAAATAACCCCCTAAGATATTTCATCCTATTATCCTTGGTATTGTGACTATGATGAGATAGCATACCCATAATTATGTAATAATACATAGCCAAAGGGATTTTTTGATGTAATTCGGTTACTGATTAGTTGACTTTGAGTAATAACAAAAGAGATTATATGGGTGAGCCTAATATAATCATATGAACACTAAAAGCAGAGAGTTTTCTTCAGCTGGTAGCAAAAGAGGAAGTCAGTTTCAAAGCATGAGAACTTGACACACAACTGCTGATGTGAAGATGGAGGTCACATGACAAGGAATACAGCGGTCTCTGGAAGCAGAGAACAGCTCCTGGCTGATAACCATTAAGGAAACAAGGACCTCAGTCCTACAACTGCAAGGAATTAAATTTGTCTAAAAAAACAAATAAGCTTGGAATAAGCTTCTTCCCCAGATAACAGCCCAGCCTGGCTGACACCTTAACTCTAGCTTTGTGAGTCCCAAAGCAGATGAACAAGCCAAGCCCACACTTCTGACCTAAAGAAGTGTGAGATAATAAATGGCTCCTGTTTTAAGCCACTATGTGTGTGGCAATTTGTTACACAGCAATAAGAAACCAGGACAGCCTCTGAAGGCCTAGGCTCAGAACTGACACACTGTCATTTCTGGAGTATTTTACTGGTCAAACAAGTCAGAAGGCCAGGCCAGATTCAAAAGGTGGGAAGATAGAACTCACCCCAGGAACATTGCAAAGGGCTTAGATTCATGTAGGTAAAAACAGCTGGGGACAGCCTGCCACACAAAATAGGAATGTTGACTTGGGGTTATTTTGAAAGGAAACCTGCTTAATAAGAGAGTTTCTGCCAGAGAGTAAGGAGACCCTACCAGTGGGGTGAAAAGCTGGGAAACCAGAAGCCAAGGGAGTGGTGGGAGAAAACAGTTAAAGGAGGGTCATGAGATGGGTCCACCTGCTGCAAATATCCACCAGGCCCAGAGAGGCCAAAGCCATTTGACAGTAGTGCCAGTACCAGTAGAACTTTTTGGTCTTCCCCCGCTACATGGTCATATCCAAAAGGGTGGGCTAATCCCTGGACAGGCCCACTGAGCTTAGGCTCTCCTAGGTCTTTAATTCATTTGCTTGTTTATGGATTGGTCATTTTTATATAAGAGCAATTGAACTGGGCTTGTTTGATTTTTGCCAATATTGTGTAACCCAGATGGCACCAGTGACATAGTAAAACATTGTGCCCAGAACTTGGAAATTACAGCTAGGTGGTTTAGGTTGCTAGATGCAGTTTTTCAACCATATCAGATAAAGTGGAAGTTCTGCTGGAGTTTGAGGGTGGCATGATTGAAGCATGAGGGGCTTGCTAAACCCCACCCCCTTGACTTCTGCTTCTCCCACAGTCTGGCAGTACTCTGAACTGGAGGAGAAGAGCACCGTACCAACAAAGTGCATTTCTCAAGAATTCACAAGCCCAAATAAACACATCAGGGACTATCCTTCAGTCTAATGTTTCCTGTTGATAACATAGGCCTAGAGAAAACTGTTACTTCGATAATATTCGTGTGTCAGAGCTCTGTATTTGCCAAGTCTTTATCACCTTCCTCTGTAGGACAACATCAAAGGATCAGAAACAGCTTCTACCTACTAGAGAAGGTGAGCTGTTCCCTGAAAATACGTCACAAATCATGCTTATTCAGCCCAACAGTTACATGTTTGATAGGTATGAACTCCTCTGCACACTCAAGGTAGAAGTTTTTTATTTCTTAAACTGGTTGGAACCAGCTCCCCTAAACTGGTAGAGAGACTAGTACCACATTTTGGAGGCTTCACTGACATCACTCATTAAAGAACCCTTGAGCTTACACAGTGCAAAATGGCAGAACCATCGAATTCCACTTCAGGCTGGAAGAGCTCTGTCTGGTGTCTGTTGAACTGATGTTATCTTTACTGCCATTGGTTTGTGCTGCCTGTATTAGGCTGCTCTTGCGTTACTATAAAGAAATACCTGAGGCTGGGTAATTTATAAAGAAAAGAGATTTAATTGGCTCACAGTTCTGCAGGCTGAACAAGCATTGTGCCAGCATCTGGTTGGCTTCTAGGGAAGCCTCAGTGAGCTTTTACTTATGGCAGAAGGTGGAGCCGGAGAAGTACCTCACATGGCCAGAGGAGGAGCAAGAGAGAGAGTGGAGGGGGTAGGGTATATATTTTTACACAACCAGATCTCACAAGAACTCACTCACTCACTCACCAAGCCATAAGGGATCTGCTTCCATGACCCATATACTTACTACCAGGCCCCATCTTCAACAATGGGGATTACATCAACATGGGATTTGGGAGGTGGGACATCCAAACTATGTCACTGCCACGTGCTGGTCCTCCACCACATATTCAGTGCACTGCTCAGCTATAGAAGCAACTGCAGCCATCAGTGGTAAGCTCAGCAACAGATGCACTTTACTGAGACTTCCAGGCCACTGCTACCATTTTCCATCCCTCACAGACACCCACAGAGCATTCTCCAGAACTTTGCCATCTCAGAGGTGATGGCTATGCTAGAGTGCATTAGGCATCTGCCTTTCAAAGAATCTACTTCCAAGTCTTGATTTCAGCCCCATGCACATACACTTGTAGGTTGGGCTATTTTATTTTCTAACTCTCCAAATTCAAAGGTTAATTCCCCCTCTCAGTCAACTCAATAAGATTCATTGCCCTGATAAGCCAAGAACGGGATCTTAAACTTGAAAATAAAAATGTTTGAACCTCCTTTTAAAGAAAAAAAATTTCCCAGACTTCCAGGATTCAATTATGGAATCTACACAAAAGACATGCTATAAACTGTCAGCCATTCGGCTGAAATGAAATTATTGCTCCCACTACGATTGTAATGAAGACTGCCACAAGATCTTTTTAAATTTAGCATAACCTTGCTTTGCAATCAAATTCTTCTACCACTTTGCTCCATTGTTGAGCAAACTGCCACCACGCAGTGCACCAGAATACTCACCAGCTTACCCCTGCTGTGAAGGATCACTTATAAATTAAATCCACCTCATTCTTTAGTTGGCCTGATACCAGCAGGATCATAAACACAATGAATAAGGACATTGAAAAATCACAAGGCAGGACTCAGTTATCTTAAAAATCCATAAAATGTTTGCATTAATATATTTAGCTACTGTCTAAATGAAAACCTCCAAATTTTTCATTTCCAAAGAATCGTATATATCACAGAAATTATCATAGTTAAATCTTTAGCAGTTACCTCCATTCTATGTTTGATAATTTTCTCTTTTTTTGATGGAGTCTCACTCTGTCACCCAGGCTGGAGTGCAATGGCGCAATCTCTGCTCACTGCAACCTCCGCCTCCCGGGTTCAAGTGATTCTCCTGCCTCAGCCCCCTGAGTAGCTGGGATTACAGCCACACACTACCACACCTGACTAACTTTTGTATTGATCATTTTCTAATAATATCAAGAAAGGGAAGTACAGGATGTGCTATGATGTGTTCTTACTGTGCAGCAGCCACCCAACTTCAGTGGTATATAATGATAAGCAGTCATTTTGCTCACACATCTGCAGGTTGGCTGGGTTTTACCTGATCTAGGTTGGACTCAATTGGGTGTCTCTAAGCAGCAGGTTGGATCCAGTTCTGCTCCATGTCTATTTTATCCTCTTTGGACCAGTGGACCAGCCATGGCATGTTCTCATGAAAATGGCAGAAGCAAAAAGGAACAAGAAGAGGCATATTAGGCTTCTTAAATCCTTTTGGGAACCAGCATCCTGCCACTTCCACTGGCCAAAAGCAAGCCGCATAGTCAAATCCAAAGCTAATGGGCTGGGATGCACATTTCACCTTAAAGGCAAGAGTTGTGAAGTCACATGGTGTGTTAGTCCATTTGGATTACTATAAAGTAATACCTAAGACTGGGTAATTTATAATGGAAAATGGTTTATTTGGCTCATAGTTCTGTAGGCTGTACAGAAAGTGTACCACCTGCATCTGCTCAGCTTCTGGTGAGGGCCTCAGGAAGTTTACAATCATGGTGGAAGGCAAAAGGAGAGCCTGTGTATCATATGGCCAGAGGGAGCAAGAGAGAGGGGAGAAGCCAGTCTCCTTTAAACAAGCAGCTCTTGCATGAACTCACCAAGCAAGAACTCACTCATTAACATGAGGAAGGCATCAAGCCATTCATGAAGGATCCATCTCCATGACCCAAACACCTCCCACCAGGCCCCACCTCCAACACTGGGAATGACATTTCAGTGTAAGATGTGGAGGGAACGAACATCCAAACCACGTCACATGGCAATGGGTCAGGATACAGGGAAGGGTGAAGAGCTGAGACGGACAATTCCATCTGCCACCTATGACCAGGGAACTTCATCTATTCTGGGGTGGCAAGAAAGCCTTTCCTGAGGAAATGAAATTTTGGCTGAAAAGTGGGAGGCGGGCAGGGAGCAAGGGTTACCATGTAAAGTAGAAGGAATAGCATTCTTCCATAGGGAATAGCATCTGCCACAGTCTTGAGGCAAGAGGACCATGGCACATTAAAAAAGGGTGGCAAGGATGATGAGAAACAAGGCACAGGAGAGGAAGCAGGAAGGCAGTCAGGAGCCCGAGGGGGTGGGGCCTTACAGGCCATGCCAGTGGCTTTTGACCTTTATGGGCATAGGGAAATCATTGAGAAGTTTTAACCAGAGAAGTGAAATTTTGCATTTGAAAACTATTTTCAGCTTTATACAGCAGAAACATCAACTCAGAATGGCTTAGACAATAAGAAAATGTATTACATGACTAACACAAAATTGGAGCCCCTCCAAGTCGGTAATTCAGTAACTCTGAAACAACGCAAGGGACAAAGCATTCCCCAGTTGCATGTCATCATTTACAATAGATCAGCTCTGTCCTCTCCTTAATTCTTTTAAGTCCCAAGATGAATACATAGGTTCCAGACGTCACATGCAGAAATGACAGTGTCCAGGTGAAGAAATGATCCTCTTCTCCCTCCTTTTCAGGATTAACAAAAAACTTTCCCAGAAACCTCCAGGGGAAGTGACATCTCATTGGTCAAAACTAGGTTACAAGCCCACCCTTGAACCAATCCCAAGTAAGAAGAATGAGACTGCCATGACTGACTTGGACCAATCAAGACCTATCAGCTAGAGTCGTTACGTAACAAAGACAAAACTGTGAGGGGGAACGGCTTCTTTCAGCAAAACTGTGATGTCCACTAGGAAAGAGGGACTTGGCACATGGCCAAGCCCAGAATTAAGGGTAGAAAAATACACCCCAACTTCAGTGGGAAGGAATGCAGAGCTACATAGCAAAGAGTGAATACAGGGAGGGGTAAACATTTGGACCCATTAATTCAATATGCCACCATACTTCTAAACATTCCCATCGACTGGACACACATACACACACACCCCCACACACACGGCAAAATTATCCCATTCTGTGGCATTGAACACATAGCAAATTGTGTATATTTCTCACATGAAACATGATTGCATACCACCTTGTCTTTATTATTGCATTAGTCTCTACTGCTACTATAAAAAGTTATCACAAACCAAGCGTCTTAAAAAACATATATTTATTATCCAACAATTCTGCATGTCAGAAGTCTGACATGGGTCTCACTAAGGTAAAATCAACGCGCCAGCAGGACTGTGTTCCTTTTTGGATCCTCTAGAGCAAAATCCATTTCCTTGCTTATTCTGATTGTTCAAAGCCAGGTTGAGCTCCTCTCACATTTTGTATTTTTCCTTCCTTTTTTCTGGTTCTCACATCTCTCCAATCTTGTGTGCCTTCCTCTTCTTTTTTTTTTTTTTTGTTTTTGTTTTTGTTTTTGTTTTGTTTTGTTTTGAGACGGAGCCTGTAGCCCAGGCTGGATGCAGTGGCGTAATCTTGGCTCACCGCAACCTCTGCCTCTCGGGTTCAAGCAATTCTGCCTGCCTCAGCCTCCCAAGTACAAGTAGCTGGGATTACAGGCGCATGCCACCACACCCGGCTAATTTTTTTTTTTTTTTTTTTTTTTTTTTTTTTTTTTTTTTTTTTTTTTTTTTTTTTTTAGTAGAGACGGGGTTTTGTCATGTTGGCCAGGCCAGTCTTGAACTCCTGACCTCAGGTGATCTGCCCACCTCAGCCTCCCAAAGTGCTGGGATTATAGCCACCTCGCCCGGCCCCTCTTCACTTTTAAGAACCCATATAATGACATCAGGCTCACCTCGGTTATTGAAAATAATCTCCCTGTTTCAGAGTCTCTTGCCTTAATTCCTTTTGTTTTGTAACCCAGCATTTCACAGCTTTCACGGATTAGGATGTGCACATCTTTGGGGGCCATTATTGTACTTACTTCAAATTTATTAAGCAACTATTAAATGATTATTCAGCTTCGAGTGTGTCTCTCCGAGTCTTTTGAGAGCACTGTGAGTTTAGAGACTGAGTGTAAATGTTCCTGTGCTCTCCACCTAACCACTCAGTAACAATGTGGAAAAAAATGAACCTGGTATACAGGAAAGCTCTAATATCATTTAAAAGGGAGAGTTTTATCTAAGTGGTCTATTCCTAACACAAGAGATAAATCCTACTGTTTAACACGTGACATGGTTCTGTCTTTTACCTGGATAACTGTACCAGCAATAGCCCAAAAGGTATCTGTGGTAGAAGATACTACACTAAGGAGGAACACAAAAACATGAACATTTTATTTGCTGTCCCCTGTAAGTACTTACAAAACATTTTGGCAGAGACCAAGGGGAAAATATAACATCTTAATGAAAAAGGCTCAGTGGGAACCCCTGAAATCTATCAATGCCACCTAGGGGGATTTATAACAGAGGGTGAAAAAGGCTCTAGGCCAGTTTCTGGGATGCTAGCATATATTTGCTTTGTGGTGAATGAGCTAATGCAGGGTTTCCAAGTGCGCCAAACAGATGACGCACACACTGTGAGCTTACTTACCATGTCCTCAGGGGACTTTGTCCAAGAATTCTCCAAGTCTCCTTCACCTAGACGTCTAAATCTGCTGGGAAAGAGGGGAGAACCAAGTGACAGATGGAGAGAAACTCCAGGATAGCACAAAGCAAAGGATGCAGAGTCAGAAATACACCCACGGAGAGAGGGAGCAGAGGAAGAAAACGACAGGGAGGCACTGAGACCTCGAGAGGTGGGGAGGGGAAGGGAAAACCTCATCAACACAGGAAACAGAAATAAGTAACCCCTAATCTGCTCAGTCATCGGTTCTGGTAAAGCCCCTTTAAATGCTGAGAATCATTTTAAAGGAAGGTAAAAGCTGCTACGGTTCATGGAGTACTTAGTCATTCCATTTGAAACATTTTAAGGAGAGTAATCAAAAGCCACTGCAGTGGGAGATACAAGAATTGGGTTCCTGCTCCAGGTCAGCCATAGAGTATGTGTGCAGTCCTGACAGTTTGCATCCCAAGGCTCGGTCTCCTCATCTTTATATGATAGAGGGATTGGCCCGGGTCAGGGTCCCCAACTTGTGATCTACAGCCCCAGAATTGAGGGAATTGGTAAAATTTGCATAGAAAAAAATTTTATTTTTGTCAGCATCCAACTGAAATTCAACATGTCCTTCAATGATGAATGTAGGCAATTAGTATTAATACCATCCATGACTGTCGCCAATAGAAATCACAGACGTTTTATGTCACATTAAGGATTCTGCAAATATTTTATAATATCTTTTATTCTCATTACTACTTAAAAACTGAAGATTGGCTGGGTACAGTGGCTCGTGCCTGTAATCCCAGCACTTTGGAAGGCAGGAGGACTGTTTGAGTCCAGGAGTTCGAGACCAGCCTAGGCAACATAGGGAGAGCGTGTCTCTATAAAAAAAATTTTTTTAAATACAAAAATTTCAAAAACTGAAGTTTTTAAACCTGTGTCTAGATCTTATTTTTAATGTGCATTCATGAAACACATATATGACTATATTACAAATTTATTTTCTCTTAACATTTTAATAAATAGAGTTTAGTCAATTTTCTTTGCAATTCAATGTATTTTATTCTGTTTATTTAGTGATAATTTTCTGGCACAAACATACACAAACACAGAGTTAACAAAATAAATATTGGACTAGGCTGGGCATGGTGGCTCATGCCTGTAATCCCAGCACTTTGGGACGTCGAGGCGGACGGATCACCTGAGGTCAGGAGTTCAAGACCAGCCTGACCAACATGGTGAAAGCCTGTCTCTACTAAAAATACAAAAGTGAGCCGGGCGTAGTGGTGGATGCCTATAATCCCAGCTACTTGGGAGGCTGGGGCAGGAGAATCGCTTGAACCCGGGAGGCAGAGGTTGCAGTGAGCTAAGATTGCACCACTGCACTCCAGCCTCGGTAACAGAGCAAGACTCTGTTTCAAAACAAAACAAACAAACAAAAAGAAATCTTGGACTAGATGTCCTCTAACATCCCTTGAATCCTGTGAATTGATTGACAGTACAAATGTTTGCAGATGTCCTACATATCAAGCCCTGAAGAGGTTAATAATTTGCCCAGCATCTTACAGGTAGCACAGAGCAGAGACAGAACTGGAACTCAGGTCTCCCCCACAGAATGTGGGCACTTAATTACATGCTACACTGAGAGGTAAGTCCTCTCAACCACTTTTTTCTCCCACCACCACGTCTAACCATCTACCTGCATCTTACCACCTGCTACTATAGAAAAATTGCCTAAAATCAGGTCAACTTCTTCACTGGTAAATCAAGTTGCATCTTCTCTTACCTACAGAAGAACATCCCTCTGGAAATTCTCCTCTCTCTCTCCTACATCAACTTTTCCCTCATTACTAAATTCTACCCATCAACCCACAAATATACTATTCTTTGTCCCATCTCAAAAAAAATCAATATTAGTTATATTGCTGCATAACAAATTATCCCCCAAAGTAGCAGCTTAAAACCAGCAAATGTTTATTCTCTCACAGAATTTATAAAGCTCAGGATGCTGGGAGTGGCTTATCCTGGTGGTTCTGATGCAGGGCCCTCCATGTAGTCATCTCAAGACTCAGCTGGGGCTGGAGAATCTGCACTAGGCTCCCTCACCTGGTTACTGGCAGGCCTCGGCTCCTCATGGGTTGTTGGCTAGAGGCTTCAGTTTCTCATCATGTGGACCTACCCATAGGGCTACTCAAAATATGACATATTTTCTCACAGAATGAAAGATCCAAGAGAGCAGAAAAGCAAAAGAGCATCTAAAATGGAAGCTGCCATCTTTTATAACCTAACTTTTGAAGTGATATACCACGACTTCTGTCATATGCTATTGGCCACATGCACCAACCCAGGTACAACACGAGAGGGGACTACACAAGGGTGTTGATAGGGTTTGGCTGTGTCCCCACTCAAATTCCATCTTGAATTCCCATGTGTTGTAGGAAGGACCTGGTGGGAGGTAATTGAATCATGGGGGCAGGTCTTTCCCATGCTGTTCTTGTGATAGTGAATAATTCTCATGAGACCCGATGGTATTATAAGGGGGAGTTTCCCTGCCCAATCTCTCTCTTTGCCTGCTGCCATCCACGTAAGACATGACTTGCTCCTCCTTGCCTTCTGCCATGATTGTGAGGCCTCCTCAGCCATATGGAACTGTAAGTCATTAAACCTCTTTCTTTGGTAAATTGCTCAGTCTTGTGTACGTCTTTATCAGCAGCATGAAAATGGACTAATACAGGTGTGAAAACAAGGAGGTGGGGATCACTGGGAGCCGTCTTGGAGGCTGATTGCCACAAATCCTTTCCTTGCACCTACATTCTTCTCCATATTTCTCTACTCCCTTTAGAGCAAAACTCCTTAAAAAGTTGTCTATGTCACTGTCTGTAATTTTTCTTCCTCCATTCTCACTTGAATCCCTTCTATTCAGACATTTGTCTCTCATGTTCTACTCTTGTCAAGGTCACTCAGGACTTCCACATGGCCAAATCCATTGGTCAGTTCTCAGTCCTCATTTCATTTGACCCATTACTAGCACGTAACACAACTGATCACTCCCTTTTCCTTGAAATACCTTCTGCATTAGACCTCCGGGATATGACATTCTTCTGATTCTACTCCTGCCTCACCGGCTGCTTACCAGGCATTTCACAGATACGTCAAGGCGTGGAGGGGGAAATACTTAGCAGTCACAGCAAAAACTAAATAAACCTTAAAATGAGCTCAACAACGATCAATTTCAGAAAAACATTAAAATTTGTAAAAGAGAGAAAACATTATTAAAGTTTATTATTTGGTCAAACAATGAATAATGTCTGAACAGGCAGAATACTCTCTGAACAGTTTGATCGATTTTTTGCATAACTATATTGAGAAGATTGAATAAGGAAATTTGGAAGGGAAGGTTGTGCAAGAAAGATGGGATATAATTTTGTAAAATCTTAAAAGTGATATACACATATTATTTAGAAACATGGAAGTTCTTGCCAGAAGCAACAGTTAAAAAGTTGAAAGTGGTTACCTCACCCGTATGCTAGGTAAATTGGACAAACCATCACACTGAAAGTTACTAGAAAATCTGGAGAAGAATTAACTGATGAAAGGCATTGGCGAGCTAACAAACTAGTGAAGAATTGTGGAGTCAAAATACAGGAGAAAAAAAAACTGAGTTTTTTCTCTGGAGAGGAGTGCCAATTCTGGAAAAGGTGACTGAGAGACATTTAAACTGTGTTTTCAGCTCCAAGGAATTGAAAAGACAACAATTGAAGTTCAAATCCCAATAAGCGGTGAAACTCCAACTTTGGTTAGAACCTTAAAAGGCTATACCTTAAGAGAAAAGGCCAGCTAGAAGTAAACCCACCCTCCCTCTTACAGACTAAACTTAGCTGTAAATCATCTCAATCCCTAAAATTAAACTAACGTGATCTCAGATTACTGGGGTCCTCATTCCTTTGCCAGAAAATATTATAAATCCCTCAGAATGAAGGTAACATTATCCTAGTCCTCAAATTATTTCTGTAATTTTTCATGAACAAGGACAGGCTGTCAATAAAAAAATAACCATCTAAATGAGGGAACATAACAACGTGAATGAAAAACCACAGACAGTAGAAACATACCCAAAGAAGTTCTAGATAACAAAGATTTCAGATACACATTTCTAAATAACTACACTTGGGATATACAAGGAGAGAAAATGTCATAAATTTTGTCAGAGAGTTAAAAACTACGAAGAAATGGAAATTTTAGAAATGAGAAGCAAAGTAACTGGTATTCAGAACTCAATGCACATAGATTTAACTGCAGATTAGACTCAAACAATAAAAAATGAGGGAACTGCATAGAAGTCATAAAGAAAAAAATTCAGAATAAATCATAGAGAGACAAAGGAATGAAATAGAGGAGTGGGTGTAAAAGATGTAAGATATACAATGAGAAGGTTTAACCTACGTGTATTGGAAGAGAAGAGAGAGGACACAGAAATAGCTGAAGAGATGATAGCTGACAATTTTCAAAACTGATGAAAGACATTAAGTCTCAGATTCAAGAGTATCTACAAACCCCAAGCAGAATAAACAAAAATGAGCCCACACATATTAAAGCACATTGTAGTAAAATTGATACAAACCAAAGAGAAAATAACAGATTACCTTGAAAGGAGCAACAATTAGACTGATATCTCACTGTTGAACAGAAATAATGGAAAGCAAAACAAAGTGGCATCTTTAAGTACTAAAAGAAAATAACTTCCAATATAGAATACTATATCTAGTGAAAATATTCAAGGATGAAGCTGAAGCGAAGATATTTACAGACACAAAAAAAATTGACAGAATTTGTCATCAACTGAAATGATGAAAGAAAATGCTACAAATTACTATATCCTAAAATAGAAGGAAATGATCCCAGATTAAAAGCCAGAAAGTAACGAATGGGGAAAAATTAATTTTAAACTCTTCTCTTTTCACTTAATGCCTTTATTACTAGTTCTTATTTTTTTGTATTAAAGTTGTTACCTCTACCTTCTTTTTTTTCATTTGTTTGGCATATTTTTCTCATTCTCTTATATTTAAATTTTTGGGGTTTTTGTGGCTTTTTTCTGATAAGCAATATTATTGGATTTCTAATGCAATCTGAGAGTTTTTATGTTTAACTATGGGATTTTATCTTAATTTAATTTATTTAACACTGATATTTATGATTTGTCTTCTTTCATTTTTTTCTGTACTTTCTCATTAAAACCACACACTAGGCAGTCTCCTCATCTCTGTGAACCATGAAATTTGATACCTTCGGTGGTCTGACACAATTGCCACAATCTTAACTCAATGTGCAATAGGTTGAACTACCCAAGTCCCAATCTAAGATCCAACCTGAGGTGACACTGATGAACAAAGGAATAGAGACGGTAAAGCAGAGTTAATCTACTAACAGATTATCCCAAATGTGTGCAAATTAGTGTATGGTTTAGGCTAAGCATTTAAAAATGCTTCTGTGAACCAAATCATGCAAAATGCCAAATGTTTACTCTCCTTTAATCTCTTAAAGTTGCCAATTTTTATTTCTACTTTGAATTCTGTTTTATGGTGCAAGCATAGTCTCTTTTTTTGTACAAATATTTATGATCAATTTTACCCTTCATGATTTTGTTTCTCAATATTTTTATTCCTCTATTAGTCATCTAAAGTTTTTCAAAGGCACTCTTTAACTTCTATGCCTCTAATTGCCAAAGTCAAAAAGGAAATTTTATTATTTGAGTGTTGCTTTTTGAAACCACCAATTTAGCCACACTTTTGCTTGTCTTCCTCCCATCTTTGTTAATATAATCTGGGTTTTAAAAGCAAATGACTGTTATGACATGGTTATTTTCATGTTATATACCTTTTAGAGAATGGTTTTTTATATTTGCATTTAGCTTTATAATCAAACATACCATAATTGCTTGACATCTCTATTTTAACTATTTTTTAACAGTTTCAGTCTTTTTCTTTGCTATGATTACCCCAATTTTAGCTCTTTATTTTGTGCTTTTCTGCCAATAAGAACACATCTTTAGATAGACACATTGATTCTGCATCTTTGAATCCCTGAAATTTAGGAAGTATTTTGCGTTATTTTCATTCATAAAATACACATGACCTACCTTCCTTCCTTCCTTCTTTCCTTCCCTCCTTCCTTCCTGTCTGCCTGCCTGCCTTCCTTCCTTCCTTCTTTCCTTCCTTCCTTCCCTCTTTTCTTTCTTTTTTGAGACAGAGTCTGGCTCTGTTGCCCAGGGTGGAGTGCAGTGGTGCAATCTCAGCTCACTGCAACCTCTACCTCCTGGGTTCAAGGGATTCTTATGCCTCAGCCTCCCGAGTAGTAGCTGGCATTATAGGTGCACACCACCATACCCGGCTAATTTTTGTATTTTTAGTAGAGACAAGGTTTCACCATGTTGGGCAGGCTGGTCTCGAACTCCTGGCCTGAAGAGATCCACCCTCCTTGGCCTCCCAAAGTGCTGGGATTGCAGGCTTTAGCCACCACACCAGGCCCAAATTACATCATTTATTTCTGACATTTAGAGTTGACAGTGAAAATTTAGATCAGCTTGATGTTTTTCTTCCCTTAAAGACAACTTTTTAAATTTGGGAGTGAGTGGCCTATTGGGGTATTTATTTTTCCTTTATCCTAAAAATTCAAAATTGTTGGCCGGATGCGGTGGCTCATGCCTGTAATCCCAGCACTTTGGGAGGCTGAGACAGGTGGATCATGAGGTCAAAAGCTCGAGACCATCCTGGCTAACATGGTGAAACCCCATCTTTACCAAAAATACAAAAAATTAGCTGGGCGTGGTGGTGGGCGCCTGTAGTCCTAGCTACTCAGGAGGCTGAGGCAGGAGAGTAGCATAAACCCAGGAGGTAGAGCTTGCAGTGAGCCGAGATCGTGCCACTGCACTCTAGCCTGGGTGACAGAGCGAGACTCCGTCTCAAAAAAAAAAAAATTCAAAATTGTTTACAATCTACATTTAGTTATAGGTCCCTTATTGAATGATTCCAATCTGCATGAAATATATCTTTCTTCACATCAGGAAAAATGAATCCATTATCTCCTTAATAGAACAGAAATATTAGTGCATAGGAATGCTCTTCCCACTGTCACGTCTCCATTTCTGTATGTATCTTACTCTTTCACAGCTGCCCCCTTTGCTTGTCATTTTCCTCCACATTTTCAAGCTTGTGGTCCATATCACTAATTTGGCTTTAAGCTGTATTATTTAGGCGTCATGCTGCCTCTGAAGTGGGGTTTAAATCTGCAGTTGTGTGTTTAGTTTCCTAATAATTCTTCCTTATCTCACTTCAAAGTTTATCTTTTTATCTTGTAATCACAGTCTATTTCTTCGATGTGGTTCTCATTGCATAGAACCAGGCACTTTTCCTGGAAGAGTCCACAGTCCTTGCTCCTCCATGGAACTTTAAGACATTTGTACTAACTGCTCAGCAAGGCCACCAGCTGCTGTAACAATTCCTGACGCCCTAGACACAGACTCTACATGAAAACAGGAGCCTGATTTAAATGGAACTTGGAAGTCTTTAGCACTACTTATTTCCTAGTTTGCTTTGAATGTACCAAGACCTAATCAATAGATCATTCATTAACAAATGTTTATTGAACACCTGCTATGTGCTTGGTATTGAAGATAGTGAGCAAAAAAGCCTGATCTCTCCCTCAAGAAGCTTTCATCTTTATTCATTATTCAATACTCACAAAAACAAATACACCTCCCAAGACCTACTCTCTCACATCCTCTCTGCCAATTCATTTCATCAGCTATTGCTGCAGCAACCAACTGCACACAGGTGGGATGACAGCACCTTGCCTCAGCTATTAATATATCAAGCACCGCTTGTCTTCTGCTCCAGCGTTTCTCTGGAGCAGTTACAGTGAAAGAACAGGAATCCATTCACCCATTCTGATGCATATGTCAACCTGAAGAATGTGGAAGTTAGTACCCTACTTCACCGATAGGGTACAGGAGCCAATGTAAATGCTCCTTTCTTTTGTCCCGCAGGTGGACATTTTTGAGGTTCATTCTACATGGCTCTTTGGAGAGTCCTTAGCAGGACAAGCCTACTGCAGTGACCAACTCATTAACACACTTTCGATTGACTTTCCCTCCTGTCATGTCTCAGTCTTTCCAGTCTCCACCTCCTGTTCCCTGGGATCACTCCCCCAAACTATCTAAGCTCTGCTTCTGGGGAACCACAGTCTAAAATTTAGTTACAAATAGCAAGTGTTTTTAAGGAAAATTATGAGGTGTTAAGATAGCTTCTGCAATGGACTTGATCTTGTCTGGGGAATCAGTGAAGGATTCTCCAAGAAAATAACATTGAGGCCAGGTGCAGTGGCTCACGCCTGTAATTCCAGCACTTTGGGAGGCCGAGGCGGGCAGATCACCTGAAGTCAGGAGTTCAAGATGCACCTGGCCACCATGGTGAAACCCCATCTCTACTAAAAATATGAAAATTAGCAGGGTGTGGTGGTGGGCACCTGTAATCCCAGCTACTCGGGAGGCTAAGGCATGAGAATCGCTTGAACTCAGGAGGCGGAGGTTGCAGTGAGCCAAGATCGTGCCACTGAACTCCAGCCTGGGGGACAGAGCGAGACTCTGTCTCCAAACAAAAAGAAAAGAAAAGAATATTGAAACAGATATTTGGATAATAAGATGATACGCACTGGCAGTAGAGGGATGAGGAGGACATTCCAGATGGGGAAATCAGTATTTTCAAAACCTTTGGGTTAGAAAGGATGCTGGAACATTTGAGAGACTGTAAGAAAGTCAGTGTCACATGCATCCAAACACAGAAGGGAAGGTAGGTGGGAGGGGAGGTGGAGAAAGGCCAATCCATGTAGGCATTGGCGCAGGAACATGACTAAGGCTTTGTTCTAAGAGCAATGAGAAACCTCTGAGGCATTTAGACAAGTGAATTGATGTGATTAGGGTTGGTTTTCAAAGGTCACTTCTGCTGCTTTGTGGAGAACCTATTGGGAAGAAGTGATGCTGGATGTAGGGATGATGATTACGGAGCTAGCACAGTGATCCAGGCAAGAGATGAAGGAGCTGAGCTGGGTGGTTGCTTAGAGATGGGGAAAAGTGGACAGATTTAAGAGATGGAAGAGGTTGATGGAACTTGGTGATGGCTTGACTATGAATCAGATGGGAAGGGATGGTAATTAATTGAACATCTCAACCAAAAATGATGAAGTTCCCTTAAAGCTTCCATCCTTAGGCTAGGCAGGGTGGAAAAACAAGAAGTAATAGACACAGTCTGACATTCAGAGAGGTAATGATTCAGTCATAAAGGTAGAATGCATGAAATATCTGAAAACCTGCTGCTGGCTTCACGAAAGTGTGTTCTGGGTGGATAGAACATGAAATAGGAGATCCTCCCAGTCAGAGATACGAGTATTCCACCTAATGCTCTGTGATGATGATGACGGTGATGATGCCGATGATGACAATAACAATGACAATAATGATACAAAAGTTAATGTTCACCAAATGGTTTCGATATGACAGGTGTGGTGCTAGTGAAGAATGTGGACTCCATCCTTAGGGAACAGGGAAATGTGTCGTGTGTTAAGAAATATGGCCATCATCCTTAGCAAACTAATACAGGAACAGAAAATCAAATATTGCATGTTCTCCCTTATAAGTTTGGGAGCTAAATGATGGGAACACATGGAGACATAGAGGGAAACAACACACACTGGGGCCTATCGGAGGGCGGTGGGTGGAGGGTAGAAGGAGGAAGAAGATCAAGAAAAATCAGTAATGGGTACTAGGGCTTAATACCTGTGGGATGAGATAATCTGTACAAAACAACCCCATGACACAAGTTTACCTATGTAACAAACCTGCATTTGTACTCCTTACCTTAAAATAAAAGTTAATTTTTTTTTTTTGAGACAGAGTCTGGCTCTGTTGCCCAGGCTGGAGTGCAGCAGCCTGATCTTGGCTCACTGCAACCTCCACCTAACGGGTTCAAGAGATTCTCCTGCCTCAGCCTCCCGAGTAGCTGGGATTACAGGTGCCCGCTGCCATGCCCAGCTGATTTTTGTATTTTTACTAGAGATGAAGTTTCACCATGTTGGCCGGGCTGGTCTCAAACTCCTGACCTCAAGAGATCCACCTGCCTTGGCCTCTCAAAGTGCTGGGATTACAGGCGTGAGCCACCATGCCTGGCCAAAAAATTTTAATTTAATTCAAAAAAAGAAATTAGTGATTTGATCAGATTTGCACTCTGGGTTTCTATGTAGACAAGAGATCAGAGGGTCCAAGTTAAAAAACAAAGAGGAGTAGACCAGTTGAGAGGCTGCTGCAATCATTCAGATATAGGATGGAGCTCTGTAGCAGATGTGGTCAGTAACCTGCTCATGCCCACCGGCTCTCACTGTTGCTGTATATACCCAGGGCATCTCACTGTCTGAGGGCTTTCTCTGACTGTTGAACCATGCTAGGGTTATGTGCGGGGCAGACCAGAAGTCTTAAGGAGTTAATAGCCCCAGGCATGACCCTCAACAAGAGAGGGGCAGAGATGATAAATACTCCAGGTTCCTCATCTCTCAGGTGGGCACCACCAAGTTCCCAGCATGACTGAGCCTCAGCTGCCCACTAATCTGCTCCTTAGTCATCCTGTAGGGCTGCCTTCCCTTCCCTGTCTCACTTCCCCACTCCCCCACCAGAAACTTCTAAGATCATCTCCCAAATAAACTACTTATACTCAGATTCTTATCTCAGGGTTTGCTTATAGGAGATCCCAACCTAAGATAAGTCCTTGACCAGGTGGCAGTGGGGCTACAGAGAAGCCTCCAATGTAAGACATATCAGAGGTTGGTGATGTTTCTTATGGGAAGCCATGAGACAGCTGGGACTATGGTTTCTTGTACTTTCAACCAGCGAAGGGGCCACCCAAGATCCACAAGAGATCTAGGTTGATGGACACTCAAGGAAAATGAGCCTGGTTTGTTACCAAGACACCCTAGTCCCAAATTCCATTGTGGAGTCCCCAGCCCTTGTAAATTAGGCTAGATCATAGCAGCCACAGGAACTCATCTTGTTTCTTTACTCAAACACACACACTAAAGGCATAGTGGTTGTTGTAGTAGTTATTTAGTTCTGAGTAACATATTACTGCAAACTTAGTGGCTTAAAACAACAGTAAGCTTTATTATTTTCACAGTTTCTGTGACTCAGAATTCTGAAGCAACTTAGATGGGTGGTTCTGTCTCAGGGTATTTTATGAGGTTACATCAGATTTCAGCTGGGGCTGACTCATCTGAAGGCTCAACTGGAGGGTCCATTTCCAAGGTGGCTCACTCACTGGATGGCAAGTTGGTGCTGACTCTTGCTGGAGAGCCTCAGCCCCTCTCTATGTGGACTCCTCCCAGGGATACTTGAGTGCCCTTACGACATGGCAGCTGGCTTACCTCCGAATGAGTGATGAGAGAGAGCTAGGTTGAAACTATCCTTTTGATGACCTAGCCACAGGAGTCACATAGCAGCATTTCCATCACATTCCATAGTTAGAGGCCAGTCACTAAAACAAGCTCACTTTCAAGGGAAAGATAATTAGTTTACGCCTTTTGAAGGGAAGATTGTCAAAGAATTTGGGGGCATACTTTAAGATCACCACAGTTGCCTAATTGATCCATTTCCCTAGATTCTCACCCTAATCTTGAACGTGATGATCTTTCCAATCCTATGACAAGAAAGAAGCTGGAAGCCGAGGCAGGGGGATTGCTCGAGCCTGGGAGCTCGAGGCTGCAGTGAACTATGATGGCATGACTGCACTCCAGCCTGGGTGACAGAGCAAGATCCCATGTTAAAAGAAGAAGTGGAGAAGGAAGGAAGGAAGGAAGGAAGGAAGGAAGGAAGGAAGGAAGGAGAGAGAGAAAAGAAAAGAGAAAAAAGAAGAGAAGAGAAGGAAGCTGGCTGGAAAAGATGAACACAGGGAAATGAGTGTCGAAGTGAAGACAGAAGTTCCTCTTTGAACCAAGAACAGATCTGGTCCAAACTGCCCCTCCCTGGCTTTCTGAGGCACTTCTTACCACACCTTAGAGCCCAAGAGATCATGTTTGTGAGGCCCTCCATGGCAAGCAGCAAGAATGGAATCTTCATAATTCAGAAAGAAAATGAGTGTATTGGAAAGTTGCAGGGATGTTAACAAAATCAAAGAGAAAGATTCTTTTTTCTTCTTCTCTCTGCTTATCTGTTTTCTCAATAGTGAACTTACATTCCTGTTACAAGAAAAAAACAATAAAAATGTTTTTAAAGAAGGACTCTGAAATTATTAGGTTAAAATAGAAACTCGAATTATATGGTGCTGTCAAGAGACAAACTAAAACAAAACCCATTTTTAACTTTGAAAAGTTAAAAATAAATATTTAAAAAAAGTCAAGATTTATCAGGCAAACGCAAAATGGCAAGAATAACAAAATTAGTTTCAGACTACATAGAATTCAAGGCATTAAAAGGGAACAAAGAGATTCATTTTATATTGAAGAAAAGTAGAGTCCTTAATGAAGATAGAAGAGATATAGCAGCTGGTCCCATAGCCATTAAACATGTTTTATCTCTACTCTAGTGACAGGTGTCAGAGAATCCCTGGGGTTCCTTTAAAAGGATAATTCCTATTGAGTTATAAAAAGTGATGGGATAAAATAAAATTATAAGTGGACTTCATAGTCTCTTAGTAAAATTCAGACTTGAGTTAAAAATGTATGTAAGAAATATAGGCCTCTGAAAAGAGGGAACAAAATAGGATTATTCCTATTGAATCATAAAAAGTGATGGGGTAAAATAAAATTATAAGTAGGTTTCATAGTCTTTTAGTAAAATGCAGACTTGAGTTAAAAAGCTACATAAGAAAAACAGGCCTCTGAGAACTGGGGACAAAACAGGACAGTGAAGAAAAAACATGGAATCGGCAGTTGGCTATCTGCAAAGGGCACCTCCCACTCCCATGTCATGATGGCCTGGGAATGGAAGGAACCAGAAGCACCAACTGAACAGGCCTGGAGTGGGCTGCAGCTACAACCGCCCTGAGGGAGGATCTGACTGTGTACTGGGGTGGTAAGAAGGAATTCAGGTTTTGGACAAATGTGTCCATCCAGGTCCGTGTCTCAGACCTTCCAGCATTCTACAGCGTCCTGATGCTTCTCCCATTCTTGTCAGGCCAGAGAAGGCCAAGGAAGGCATGGACCGCAGCACAGCAAATCCACATTATGCGGCTGTTTCTTTCTCCAGGAGTCAGGGACACAACTTGCTGCATGGCTTCCTGCAGGCAGGAAAACAAAAGCAGAAAAAGGCTCAGTCTCCTAGTGCCCTGGAGGAGCCAGAATAGGACACCGGAATTCAGGGGTCACAACAGTTAGAGATGCTTCATCTGGGACCCAGGGATAGAATTTGGGTAAACATGGATGGAAAAACTATACCCTTTTGTTTTCACTTTTCTGTAACTGAAATTGGGCATTTCCTTCATTTGACGATGGAAGCAACAAGCCACAGGAGTGATGGCAGAATTCATGGCTATAACTAAAAGAAATCCCGGAGTTTCAAGTCACATGACAGCTGGCGCAGATACCTCAGAATGCCACCTCCATTCAGATGGGACTTAAAAATCACAGCCACCTGGCTGCTAGATCTGGTTATTTAGTACTTAAATAAACATGAACATTTATTATTATGTCATCAATTTTTTTTGAGACAGGGTCTTGCTCCGTTGCCCAGGCTGGAGTGCAATGGCGCAAGTTTGGCTCACTGCAACCTCCACCTCCCGGGTTCAAGCGATTCTCCCACTCACCTCAGCCTCCCGAGTAGCTAGGATTACAGGTGTGAGCCACCACTCCCGGCTCATTTTTGTATTTTTAGTAGAGGTGGGGTTTCATTATGTTGGCCAGGTTGGTCTTGAACTCCTAGCCTCAAGTGATCTGCCCGCCTTGGCCTCCCAAAGTGCTAAGATTACAGGCGTGAGCCACCACGCCCTGCCCATCAATTTGGTTTTTGTAAAAGTATTTTGAGAACTGTTTTTCAGTGTAATTGATTTCCTTTGCAGTTCTAAATGTTTTATTTTTTAAAGGTAAAATTCTGAAAAGGTTTCATAAGCTTCACCAGATTGTCAAAGGGGTCTGTGGTCCAAAGGAGGCTGAGACCCCTGATGATTAGATGCCTTGCCCTCTCCCCACTGCCCCTCAAGCCCCTTAAAGAGGGGAGTAGAGCCAGAGGGCACCAGAACATCTCACCCCACCCCTCTGCACCCCCAGGAGGAGTGAAGGAACTACAGAATACGGAGTTTTGTGGAATTTGTTAATTCAGTCTTTTTTTCTTTTCTTCTCCCTCTCCTTTCCTGCTCCCACTTCCCTCATATCACAGCCCTCCAAAGTGACCCATGCTGAGACTACCTAATATGTAATCATCCACATTTGGATCCGTGCTCTTATTTTAATATTCAAACATGAATTTGCATATATGCATATACTTATGTATTGACATATATGCATATACATAGCGATTTTCCAGCCTTTTCCCATGCATAAGAGAAGCATCATAAATAAATGGAGAAGAGATGGATTTTCTGAGATAATATATACTCAATAATTTTATATGTAATATATTGCCAAAAACTGGAATCACAAGACATATGCCATTCAAAATGCTGTTTTCTTCTCATTAATGTCGTATTTTTTCTGTAGTGTTGAATTCTATTTAAAAACTGTAGGCCGGGTGCAGTGGCTCACACCTGTAATCCCAGCACTTTGGGAGGCCAAGGCGGGTGGATCACGAGTTCAGGAGATCAAGACCATCCTGGCTAACACAGTGAAACCCCGTCTCTACTAAAAATACAAAAAAACAATTAGCTGGGCGGGCGCCTGTAGTCCCAGCTACTTGGGAGGCTGAGGCAGGAGAATGGCATGAACCCAGGAGGAGGAGCTCGCAGTGAGCCCAGATAGTGCCACTGCACTCCAGCCTGGGCGACAGAACGAGACTCCATCTCAAAAAAAAAAAAAAAACTGTTTCTAATGACTGCATATATGTCACATAAAAATGCAACCAAACATATTTAATCATCTCCCCATTAGACATTAACATTTTCCAATTTTTTCTTAAAAATGCTATGATGGGACAGGTGCAGTGGCTCACACCTGTAATCCCTGCACTTTGGGAGGCTGAGGTGGGCAGATCACTTGAGGTCAGGAATTCGAGACCAGCCTGGCCAACATGGTGAAACCTCATCTCTACTAAAAATACAAAAATTAGCCGGGCATGGTTGTGCATGTCTTTAATCCCAGCTACTCAGGAGGCTGAGGCAAGAGAATCACTTGAACCTGGGAGGCAGAAGTTGCAGTGGGCCGAGATCACACCATTGCACTCGAGCCTGGGCAACAAAGTGAGACTCCATCTCAAAAAAAAAAAAAAAAGTACCTATTATGAACTACGTGAAATAATCCTTGCATTATATATTAGGTTGAACTCCATCAAATTGATGTCTTCATGGCTCAAAACTATATTATCAATTTCATATGAGTCAATTAATTAATATTAACATTATTCCTGGAGTTATGTTTTCTCTACCACTTTTCCATCAGCCCCTAGTCCAGATTCATACTGTTCTATTTAGTACAGCTTTGTGATATGTTTTAATCTGGTATAAGTTTGCCCTCATTTTAAATAAAATGTTCTTACTTATTTTTTTCTTCCAGGGTAACACAAGAGAAATTTAGAATTATTTCACTGATTTCCCATGAAAGTCCCATTAAGACTTTTCATTAAAACTATTTTAAAATTACAAATGATATATAAAAGAATTTGTAGAATGTTATTTTTTGCGGTTTCCTAACCAGGACCATAATTTGATGTTGTACTTATTAAAGTTTTTTTTTTCAAGCTAGTTTCTCAGTGAAACTTTTCATTAAAAAAGAATTGGAGTTCCTACTCATTTTTGGTTACATTTTTGCTTAGGCTTTTCATACTTTGTTATTGTTACAAATGAAGATTTTCCTTTCTACTTTCCAGGTTATAATTGTTGGCACATAGAAAAACACTTTTCTAAGATATTGCTTTTGTATCCAACCACCTAATTTACAATCTCATTTTTAACACGGCATTTGCAATTGATTTTTTTCGTTTCTTGTGTTAAATTATAACATCTTCAAATAATGACAGTGTTTTTTAAAAAATCCTCTTCTTTTCCAAGTGTTAAAAAATATTATTCCTAACATTTCTTATTAAAATGACCAGAACTCCCAAATTTTCAAATTAAAAGAGTACTCTGCCTTCTGGTTTTTGTTTTAGTGAGAATGCCTGCTGTGATCTAAATGTTGAAATCCTAACCCCCAAGGTGATAGTATTAGGAGATGGGGCCTTTGGGAGATACTTAGGTCATGAGGAGCCCTCATGATTGGGATAAGTGCTCTTATAAAAGAGACCCCAGAGAGCCGGCTATCCCCTGCCACATGAGAGGACACAGCAAGAAGGTACCATCCATGGGGAAGGAGGAGACTTCCTTGTCAGACACCGAATCTGCCAGTGCCTTGATCTTGGACTTTGCAGGCTTCAGAACTGAAAGAAATAAATTTCTGTTGTTTACAAGCTACCCAGTTGATGGTATTTCATTATCGCAGCCCGAAGGGACTAAAGCAATGCCTTTATTGTTTAAATGTCAGGAATGGCATTCACTGTGATTATAGTAGAATGCTGTTATAATAGTCAGTATAAGTACATTGATGGTCCTAGGCAGTGGTCCTCTGCTCCTGGTTTACAATGAGTTTCCTCTCAGTAATGATGACTGAGTTGTAATTGATTATGCTCAGGATTTATTGAGATGACCATATATTTTCTTTTTTTAAGGAAAATTTCTATTATTTTAATTATTTTTATGTACAGAAAACTCAACAGCGTACATTTAACCCAGTTTAGTCGCAAGTTCTTTAGCCTTCGCCTTTTTTAGCTTGGTGATGCGAGCCACAGACTTGGGACCCAGGACATTACCTCCCCAGTGACAGCAGATCTCATCGTATCTGTCGCTGTAATTGGTCCTGATAGTTTCCACCAGCTTAGCCAAAGCTCCTTTGTCTTCCAAGTTAACCTGTGCGAAGGCAGCAGTGGTGCCTCTCTTCTTGTGGACTAGAAGTCCCAGTCTTGACTTCCCCTTGATAAAGCAGTAAGGGCCCCCCATTTTTTATGACACAGGGCAGGCAGGAAGACAACCAGCTAGAAGAAAGCACTAGCTGAAGAGCATATTTTGACCAAAAGCAGTAAATTTCAAAGCTAGCTGGGTAGCAACTGCTCTGGGTTAAAAAGTTCACGTATCTGCCCTTCAAGGCAGATGACTATATATTTTCTAATGTTTCCTATGGGTTTGATGTGTGATATTTAGATTTCTCCATAGCAAGCAATTCTCCCATTCTTGGGTTAGATGCTGTTAGGGGAAGGGTCACTCTGGCAGAGGCAGGTCTGCACACCTGGGTTGTTGCTTTTGCACACACACACCCGCCCCATTTTACACTGCACACCGCAGAACTTCACCGTTTCACACATTCAGAAATGAAGGCCTCCGTGGTGTAAACAAGTTGCCCAAAGCAACACAGCTTCCAGGACGGAAACCTTTGGATTGTTGGTCCAGTCGATTTAACTGTATCTGAATGGTGTTTGATTGCTTGTGTGATCCTGGCTGGGAATATTCTCCTTTCTGGACTTCAGTTTCCCCATAAGACCATATACTCTTCTGTAGACATTCATTCTACAGTCCAGGAGAGTACCTGGAAGGGACATTAATTTCTCTCTCCCTTTTCCCCACGGCCTATGCATTATTGTTTCAAGCCCATCTCCCCCATGGCCCATCTACCCGCAGCCAGCTCTGACCTGAAGGCCGGGTCAAAGGGGTGCTAGGAATTCCAGGTCGGTGATTGGCCTTCTTCTCTTACTCTATGTAGACTCCAGCCTACAATTCCTAGTAGGGAAAGAATAACCATCTCTAATTTGCAAGAGCTCAGGGTCTCGGGTACAGACAGGAACTGGCCCCTGCCAGGGGCATTCCCAGGGCGTTGCTCCTGGGATGGGCAGAGGGACCAGTGGGCAGGCCAGTAATGCCAACATTCAGAGGGTCCTCCTGCGGGCGGGGGCTTCCTGGAGGAGGTGGCCCTCAAGAGGGGCTTGCTTTCGATAGTGGGGGTGTTGTATTCCGTGCGGAAGGACCCTCCCGTTGTGTGGAGGAACCGCACAGTCCCTTTAATGTGGTATGCTGGTACAGTCACTCCATCTTGACGCCTAGCCCCACCCCCAAACGTTTTCAAGCCAAAGCAAACAGAAGCAAGGCCCAGGTTTAAACTTAAGAGGCTGCCTTCAGATTTTGTTTACTTATCCAGATTTGCAATCTTTCAGGACCCACCAAGGCCAGTTTCTTTTTCAGACTTTGCACTAGGCTATGAGGGCAGGGGGTGGCGGGCAGGGCAACGTCCCATACCGTCTAAATCGCGCCCATACGCTGCCACCTGGGAAAGGGGGCAGAAAGGGGCGGCGGTGCTCTAAAGTGAGGCGGAGCTGGAGGGCTCTGAGGAAATGCCCCGGGGCACCCCCTCCCCAAGGCAGCCTGGAGTGGACGCGCGGCTGCCAGGCTTCCCGCGGAGGACGCGACCCCGGCGGTGCCCGAGGCTGGCGCGCCCTCTCGCGGCCACGCCGGGAACGCCGCCGGCTGAGACCCTCGCGTCCTCGGAGAAGCCTGTGGTTGGTTCCAGCCTAGGCCCGGCGGGCAGCAGCCCACGCTGGGTGTTTGAGGGCAGTGAGGAAAAGGACCTGTCTGCAGAGATCGTCTCTGCTGCAGTCCTTCTGCAGTCCACGCTGGGGAATGCCCTGGTCAGCGCGACAGAGTCCTCCGCTCTCCCCGGCATCCCCTGTCCAAGCATTTCTCCTCTGCCCCCAGCTGTCAGCTACCCCTCCCCTTGCCTCTTTTGCTCGACTCCTTGAATTAACTCAGCCTCGTAGGGGTGTTGATGACTGCTTATTCCTCCCTTTACCTCTAGCCCAGCAGGATATTTCACAACTTTCCTCCAAAGCAGCGGTCAAGATCTGAGTTAGCTCCACGGCTTGCTGACTCTCCTCATGCTCGGGTTCCTCATCTATGAAACGGGGATAACTGTAGTATCTGCGTCCTGATTTGGTGTAAGGTTAGTGAGTTACTACGTGTGTAGCAGACCCGTGCCTCCACACATTCCCTCGGTGCCCCTCCTTCTTCCTGTGCCCCTGTCCTCTGCGTGCCTTCTCTGTGGGGAGACAGCCAGCATCTTCTTGCTTCTCTGTTGCAGGGCTGTCCCAGGCTGCTGGAGCCTCCCTGGACCACATGCAGCAGCCTGGAAGTGCCAGGGATCAGGGGACGTATTTACCTATATTAGAGTTCCCCAGAGAAACAGAACTTATGGGATTACATATATACATGTATACATATGCGTGTGTGTATATATACGTATATGTATGTATGCATGTGTGTGTATACATATATATGTGTGTGTACATATATATATATGAGAGAGAGAAATCGATTTATTATAAGGGATTGCCTCATGATCATGAAGGCTGACAAGTCCCAAGATCTGCATTGGCAAGCCAGGAGATCCCATGGTTGGTTCCAGTCCTAAAGCTGCCAGGCTCAAGAGCCAATGTTTCAGTCCAAGTCCAAAGGCAAGAAGCAAGTTGATGTCCCAACTTGAAGGTAGTCGGGAAGGAGAAATTCCCTCTTAATTGGAGGACGTTCCACATTATTGTTCTATTCAGGCCTTGAGCGGATTGGACAAGGCCCACCCACATTGCAGAGGTCAATCAGCCTTACTGATTTAAATGTTAATCTCATCTAAAAACACCCTATCACAGAAACACTCAGAATGTTTGACTAAACATCCAGACAACCTGCGACCCAGCCAAGTTGGCACATAAAAGTAACCATCACAGCCCCCGAGGGCAGATCTTCATCATGACAGGTGGTTGGGGAAGCAGGAGCCACACTGCAGCTCCACTCTGCACTCTCGCCTGGCCTCCTTCCCTTCCCAGTCCCAATTCCTCACTCCCTGGGTTTTCCTGAGGCCTACCCCTTAGTAAATTACTTTCAAGTGAATCTTCCTTCAAGGGTAGGAATCTGCTCCTTGACATTCCTTATTCACCATCCTTCTGCCCGGGTTGGACGGATCCCCTCCTGGTGCTGGAACAGTCTGTTCCTTCCACAGGATGCTCAGAATGTAAACCATCATTGCAAAGACTGAGGCTTCACAAGGAAGATTCCTTCAAACTCATGGTAAAACATAAACTGAAAACATGAGAAATTGCATATTTTTCTGCCCATCTCCTGGGCACACAGAAGGACACAAAGAGCTTGGCTCCTCACATCACCTTCATGGGCACTTTATCAACGATAACATGAGAACAAGTCTGGCTGATAACAGGATTACGTGATTGTAATTAGATGGATAATTATTCACACGTGGAAGGGTTTGATGACTGGGTCTTGAGAATAGGAGCTATAAATACACATATTAGAAAAGGATTCCATTAAAAGTGAACCTAAAGCAATTGAAAAGCTTCTGATGGATCATTAGCCATTTAAAGAGATTTTTGTTGCTAATGTGTCACTCTTTTCACCTTTTACTAAAAAGCTTCAAAAAGGAAATCAAAGCATCTGACATTGTAATGTAAATCAATGGGGAGAAGGCATTAAATTTATAAAAGTTCAGTTTTTATGCAGCTTCTCCTAAACCCAGCTGTGATACAAATTGAAGTCTACTTTGTGTACATTGGCATAAAATGAGGTCCATTATAAACATATATTTTAGTAAATTCAATGTGATGTAGATGCAGGTTGAATACAGCAGCCAGTTACTTAAATTGAATGGGCTGAATTTCCCAGAAGAAAATCTGAAATGAACATGAAATGCTGTTACTCTGCTTCAACTAACCAGACACTCTTTAGACGAAAGTGTGCCAGGTGGAATATCATTTCATATAGTGTTTTCAGATATCCAACTGATCTTCCACATTTGCCCAGCCCTGCCCTGGTAAGCAATTACACAAAAATGAAACACCCAATGTTTGCTTATTAATTTATGCCACGGACAGCTATCAGTTGCATTTAATAGGCTTCTAGTCCAGGAATCAGCCAAGAACAAGACTCTTGAGCATAAAAGGATAAATTTAAAACACAGACTTCTTTTAAGAAGGCAGATTTGTTATGGCACACATATATATGTGATGTCTGTGTATTTTACACTGTAAAGACATACATCAAATGTAGTAGTGATTATCTGTGGTATAATTGTTAAAATTATAGAATAGCATAAATAATAATTTTATCTACACTCATGTATCCACCATCAAGCTTAAAAATGTAACACCTTAAAGCAATGCAGTTGAAACCCCCTGTGAATGCCTCCAGGACCATGTCTGCCTGCTCATGTTCCCTAGAGCTGAACATTATCTTGAATCTGCTATTCACCGTTCCCATGCATTCATTTCAACATTCACCACAAATGTATGCATCCTCAAACACTGTCTAGTATGTTTAAACTTTAATAAATGAATGCATCATAACACATGAAATCCTCTGCAAGTTGGCTTTCTGCTTGTGTTTGTGACATTCTTCTGGTTTTGTTTTTGAGAAGGAGTCTCGCTCTGTCGCCCAGGCTGGAGTGCAGTGGTGCCATGTCTGCTCACTGCACTGCAACCTCTGCCTCCCAGGTTCAAGCTATTCTCCTGCCTCAGCCTCCCGAGTAGCTGAGATTACAGACATGTGCCACCATGCCTGGCTAATTTTTGTATTTTTAGTAGGGACGGAGTTTCACCATGTTGGCCAAGCTGGTCTCGAACTCCTGACCTCAGGTGATCCACCCACCTTGGCCTTACAAAGTGCTGGGATTACAGGCATGAGCCACCGTGCCTGGGCTGTTTGTGAGATTCTTCTGTGGGGATCTGTATAGCTGTAACTCACTCATGTTTATAGCTGTTATTTTATATTGTGTAAGTAATCACTGTTCATTTACTCATCATATTCTCCTGTGGGTGGATATTTAAGTTATTTCTAATTGTTTGCCCTTGTCAACACTGAGACTATGAAAAATCTTTATTTATGTATATGAACCATTTGAAAATAAGTTGCAGAATGTCCTATAATTCTTTCCTCATTGTTAGATTCAGATTATACTTTTTAAATGTACATTTGGGCTATAAATTTACCTCTAATGCTCATTTTACCTTCATTCAACAAGTTTTCATTTTTTAAATATTATTTTTTAAAGCCGTTTAACATGTTCAGAGTGCTTTTCTTTCTCTCCCATGCATATTTTGGATGTTATTAAAGCTCATAACAAATAGTTTAATTTATTTTTAGTCTTTCTTTTCTAACAAGTTTATCTTAGAATAAAAAATTTACCTCTAAGGACCACTTTAGTTTCATCTCACAAATTTGGCGAAGTAAAATTGGTATTATTGCCTAAGATAAATACTTCAGATTTTCTATTATGTTTTCCTTATTAATCCCTGAATTATTTCAATTTTATTTCATTGAGATCAGAAAAATGTGGTCTGTAAACGAATTCTTTAGAATCTGTTGAAATTTCTTCTGTAGCTCAATATATGGTCAATTTTGGGAAAGGTTTTATGTGGTCTTGTGAGAAAAAAACTGTATGCTTTCAATAATTGACAAATGGAATCTAATTAAACTTAAGAGCTTCTGCACAGCAAAAGAAACTATCAACAGAGTAAACAGACAACCTAAAGAATGGGAGAAAATATTTGCAAACTATGCATCTGACAAAGGTCTAATATCCAGCATCTATAAGGAACTTAAACAAATTTACAAGGGAAAAACAACCCCCATTAAAAATTGGGCAAAGGACATGAACAGACCATTTTCAAAAGAAGACATACACACAGCCAACAAGCATATGAAAAAAAGGTCAATATCACTGATCATTAGAGAAATCCAAATCGAAACCACAGTGAGATACCATCTCACACTAGTCAGAATGGCTATTATTAAAAGTCAAAAAATAACAGATGCCGGTGAGGTTGCAGAGAGAAGGGAATGCTTATACACTGGGAGTATGTGTTGGTGGAAGTGTAAATTAGTTCAACCATTGTGGAAAGCAGTGTGGTGACTCCACAAAGAGCTAAAAACAGAGCTACCATTCAACCCAGCAATCTCATTACTGGGTATATACCCTCCAAAACATAAATCACTCTATCATAAAGACACATGCACGCATATGTTCACTGAAGCACTATTCACAATAGCAAAGACATAGAATCAGCCTAAATGCCCAATAATGACAGATTGGATAACGAAAATGTGGTACACATACACTGCGGAATACTATACAGCCATAAAAAAGAATAAGATAATGTCTTTTGTGGGAACGTGGATGGAGCTGGAGGCAGTTATCCTTAGCAAACTAAGGCATGTGGCCCCAAATCTCTAATTCTGATTCTGTGTCTATTTCTTTTGTGACTGTATAATTTATTTATCGTTCTCACTTATAAGTGGAAGCTAAATGATGAGAACTCAAGGACACAAACAGGAGAACAAAACACACTGGGGCCTACTTGAGGTGGGAGGATGGGAGGAGGAAGAGGAGCAGAAAATATAACTATTGGGTACTAGGCTTAGTACCTGAGTTCGATGAAATAATATGTACAGCAAACCACCATGACATGGGTTTACCTGTAAAACAAACCTGCACATGTACCCCTGAACCTAAAAGTTTAAAAAACATGTATGCTTTCTATGGGGTCAAAGATTTCTGTTCTCTCTCTCCATTTCTCTTCCCCTCCTCCCTCCCTCTCTCTCCTCTCTTCCCCCTTTCAGCCCCTCCCTTTATGCTCAGGTGTATTAATCCTGATTTTCTTATTCATTCATTCATTGGCCATCCTGATTCTATTTCTTTTCCTTTCAATCTACTTTTTTTCTTTCCTTCTTTTTTTTTTTTTTTTTTTTTTTTTTTTTTTGTCTGAGACAGAGTCTCGCTCTGTTGCCCAGGCTACAGTGCAGTGGCACAATCTCAGCTCACAACCTCCACCTGCTCGGTTCAAGTAATTCTCTGCCTTAACTTCCTGAGTAGCTGGGATTACAGGCATGCACCACCGCACCAGCTAATTTTTATATTTTTAGTAGAGATGGGGTTTCACCATGTTGGCCAGGCTGGTCTCTAACTCCTGACCTCAGGTGATCCACCAGCCCCAGCCTCCCAAAGTGCTGGGATTACAGGAATGAGCCACCATGCCTGGCCATATTCTTTTTCTCAATGCTTTAATCTATTCTAAGAGATGTGGCCCCAAACCTCTAATTCTGATTCTGTGTCTATTTCTTTTGTGACTGTATAATTTATTTATTGTTCTGAGACTATCCTTCTAGGAGCATACAAGTTCCTGTGTTGTATTTTCTTGGTGGACTGTTCCAGTATGAGACATCTCTCTTTGTCTTTTTTACTGCCTTTTTTCCTAAAATTTTATCTTGTCTGATATTAGCATTGCTGCATTGTCTTTTTTAGTGTCATTAACATTGGCCTGGTGGTTGCCCCTTTCATTTTAATGTTGTAGTGTCTTTTGATTTATGTTTCTCATAAACAGCATAGAACTACACTTCATGTAATTGTGGCTTTTGCTCTAATCCAAAAATATCTGGATATCTAGATTAGGTGACTATGAGGGGTCTATCACCTATTTATTTTTTATTGTGATTACCATTACATTGGACTTATTTCTGTCACTTAGTGCTGTGTTTACTACTTAACCTGCTTCCCCTTTGCTGACTTTTTTTCCTTCTCTGACTTCTGGTAGATTGCACATGCTTTCTTTTTTTATCTTATTTTTATTTTTTATTTTACTTTAAGTTCTGGGATACGCGTGCAGAATGTGCAGGTTTGTTACATAAGTATACATGTGCCATGGTGGTTTGCTGCACCCATCAGCCTGTCATCTAGGTTTTAAGCCCCACATGCATTAGGTGTTTGTCCTAATGCTCTCCCTCTCCTTGCCCTTCACCCGCCGACAGGCCCTGGTATGTGATGTTCCCCTGCCTGTGTCCACATGTTCTCACTGTTCAACTCCCGCTTATGAGTGAGAACATGTGGTGTTTGGTTTTCTGTTCCTGTGTTAGTTTGCTGAGACTGATGGCTTCCAGCTTCATCCATGTCCCTGCAAAGGACATGAACTCATTCTTTTTTATGGCAGCATAGTATTCCATGGTGTATATGTGCCATGTTTTCTTTATCCAGTCTGTCATTGATGGGCACTTGGGTTGATTCCAAGTCTTTGCTATTGTGAACAGTGCTGCAATAAACATACGTGTGCATGTGTCTTTACAGTAGAATGATTTATAATTCCTTGGGTATATACTCAGTAATGGGACTGCTGGGTCAAATTTCTGGTTCCAGATCCTTGAGGAATCGCCACACTGTCTTCCACAATGGTTGAACTAATTTATACTCCCACCAACAGTGTAAAAGTGTTTCTATTTCTGCACAGCCTCGCCAGCATCTGTTGTTTCCTGACTTTTGAATGATCACCATTCTAACTGGCGTTGCACATCCGTTCTTTATTCCCTTTTGTTCTCCCTGCCTGCTTGGAATTTAAATATTTTTGTTTTATTCATTTAGTAGTTACTTTCATATTTGTCATAGGCATCTTAATTTCATATATTTCTCACAAATCAAGACAGTGTACCCCCTTTTTAAACAAGGTTTGGAATTTTCAGTTCTTTCCCTTTTCTCATAACTTAGCTCCCACCAGCAACTATGTCATTCTTATCTACAGTTTTAGTTCTGACTTCTTTTAAAACATAAATTGTTCTTTTGTTCACATAAATTATTATAATTATGGCTAAGTCTTTTATTATATCATAATTGTTATATCATAATAAAAGGCATAGCAATAATGATAATAATTTATATTGTTATTATTTTGAGTGAATACTTACCATATTTATCAATTATATATGAGATATACATTGTTTCACTATTTAACTTCCCTGTGATCGTGAGGTTAAATTCTGTCTTTAATTATAATTGATTTTTTTTCTTAGAAGTTAATAAAGTAGCAGTATATCTTACATAACAGTGTATCTTATAATTGGTAACATCTTAGATGGGATGAAATAAAGTGTTTAGCATCACCAATGTATTTTCTTACCAATCTCTTTGCTCATTGTTGCTTCTTGCATCCCACTCCTTCCAAAGTTCATTTTTCTTCTTGCTGAAATATATTCTCTAATTCTCACAGTGAGGATCCATGAGTTCCTTATTTTCTGACTCCTTGAATGTCTGAGAATGTCTTTATTTTACACTCACGATTGAATGATGCTTTGGCTGGGAATAGAATTCTATGATCACAATTTTTCCCTTACCATTTTACAGATAGTTCTTCATTTCCTCTGACATCTGTGGCTTCTGATTAGAAGCCTGCTGTCACCTGCCTGTGATTTATTTGTCCATTATCTGTCTTTCCTCTCTGTCTTATTAATGTTTTTTCTCTTTATGTTTTGCAGCTGCACTGCAGGTCTAGGGGTGCAATTGTCAAGGTTTCCAGCTTGGAGTTCAGTGAGCCATGTCTCGATTTCTGGAAAACTCTCTTTGGACATTACTTCTCCACTGAACTCTTGTCTCTTTTCCTTCATACTTGGCTTCTCCATTATCATTACTAAATCCTGGGATTTTCCCCCACTCCTGTCTTTTAATTTCCCAGCCATGCTTTCAACTGAAAGCAATCTATACTCTACTGAGGGTTTTTTTATGACCGCATTTTCATACCCCAGATTTTTTTTTTTTTTTGAGGCGGAGCCTCTCTGTCTCTCAGGCTGGAGTGCAGTGGCGCAATCTCAGCTCACTGCAGCCTCTGCCTCCTGGGTTCAAGCAATTCTCCTACCTCAGCCTCCCGAGTAGCTGGGATTATAGGTGTGTGCCAGCACGCCTGGCTAATTTTTATATCTTTAGTAGAGACAGGGTTTTGCCATGTTGGCCAGGCTGGTCTCAAATTCCTGACCTCAGGTGATCCACCTGCCTGGGCCTCCTAAAGTTCTAGGATTACAGGTGTGAGTCACCGCACCTGGCCCATACCCCAGATTTCTAACCAAGAGGTTTTTTTCTCCCATATCTGCCTCTTCTATTTCAAAACTGCCTTTCTTATCCCACAACTTCATATTATTTCATGGATACTATGCTGTCCTTTATTTATGTGAGAGTTTTTAACTTCTAAAAATTATTATTTCACTTAATTTCATGTTTATTTTTATCTATTTTAATGTTTTATTCTTTCTTCATGTATTTATCTAAACCTGAAAGTCTTAATGTCATTTTCAGATGGCTTTATTATGTCTATTTCCTCAATCATAAATTCCTCTATTTTTGTGGATCTGTCATTCTTGGTGCTAGATTTTCTCATGTCTTTAGAATCATGTGTTTAGAAATTCATGTTTGACAGCCCCTTTTCCACTGGAGGGCTTTCCCACAGGTACACCTCTCTTCAGGGCCGTTTTAAGGCTTCTTTTTTTAAAGGATCTACAGGGTGCCTAGCTCCCAAGCAGGTCTTATGGTAGTGGCTTAGCTTAGGCTCCACATTCCAATGGGTGGAGCGGTTTTAGGACCTGGCACAGGACTGAGCACTTGTCTCATCCGCGGCCTCTGCCCAGCTCCTGGCAAGCAGCCTAGAATCTGGCTACAGCCCATGGTGTGTGGGCAGCATTCTCAGCCCCTTCCATGATCAGGCAGCTGGTCCTGGCCCCGTGCCAGTGCAGGGTGGCCAGCTCAGCCCCTGCCGGGCAGCTTTGCTATCCCAGCCCCTCTTAAGCCCACTTGTCTTCTTAGCTCTCCACAAGTGTGAGCTCCTGCTTTCAGCTGTGACCTTCTCCCATTTCTTATCCAGAGGCGTGGGTTTCTTGTTTTTAATCACAGTGACATTATATTTCTCATTTTTATCTAACTACCTAGTAGCCTGTGTGTTGGGAGCAGTCAATCTCTCCTGTGGACCTGGCACTCTGGTTGAAGTTCAGTGTTCTAAGGCATCCTGAGATCCGCAGAGGCACTGCCAGCTGACGGTAGGGACAGTGACATGTGATATGATGGTGGGGACAGTGGGGTGCTCTGGACACACCTCCAGCTGCTACCAGGGAGCTCTACTTGCAGGGGTTTGTATACAAGTTTATATACAAAATCTCTATTACTAATAAGCCAAATATTTGGAACCCATACTCTAGCCCAAGCATCTCATTTTCCAGATGGAGATGAGGCTGTTAGTTCCAAAGCCAGGCGGGAAACTAGGTCTGCTCATGTCCTGTCTGACACTCTCAGAACTGCACCAGGCATAGGTCTGCTAGGCGCCCTGTAATGCCCATCTCATCCCACATGATGGGGTCACCTCCCTCACTTCATCCCCAAGACGAAGCAGTTGGGAACTCAGCCCAAGAGGAAACTTACTTCCAAACCCATCTGGAACACTGATTCATGTAACCAAAACCACCTAGCTGCCCGCCTGGAGAAGGTTCTGGGTTGTGGCACTGCAGGATCCAGTAAGGCCCGGGCCTCTATTTACACACATTTCAAAGAGAGTGGACCCCTCTCAAAGCTGCAGCAGCAGCGCCTCAGGGACCAGTGTCCAGGAATTCCCCCAGCTCACCTGGCAGTGCTGCCTAAAGGTTTAGGTCTGGCCGGATGCAGTGGATCATGCTCCCCCTTTGGCCTCCCAAAGTGCTGGGATTACAGGCATGAGACCAGGAGCTCAAGAACAACTTGGGCAATATAGCAAGACCCCCGTCTCCAAAACAACAACAACAAAATTGTTTTTAATGAGCCAGTTGTATTTGTGTGTGCCTGTTATCCCAGCTTACTCGGGAGGCTAGGGCTAGAGGATTGCTGAGCTCAGTTCAAGGCTGCAGTGAGCTATGATCTATCCACTGCACTCCAGCCTGGGTGACAGAGCGAGACCCTATCCCTAAGGAAAAAAAAAAATGTAGCTGAAACATTGACCCATTCGTAAGGTAGGTGACTCAGAGTGTACTTCCAGCTGATTCTCTGGCACAGCTAGGAGCATCCAGTCAATTACTCAAAGGATTCTTGATGATGGCCAAAATATGTGTGGTTTTGATGATGTCTGGAGAGGATGAGGATGGTGCCAACATGTTTTCATTTGAGCAACTATTACCACTCCACAAAGGGAAATCTGCAGATCCTGCTCCTTCTGGTGCATGCGTTTTCTAAAGGTGGACCCTGCTGGATTCTGGGGTTCCTTGCAGGTGCCTCAGGAGCCATCTCAGCAACACACGTGTCTCCTTCCTTAGAAGCAACCAACTGTGCTGTGCCATGGTGAAAAGGAGCTGAACTGAGACAGGAGTCGTGTCTTCCTGGGTGACCTCAAGCCTCAAGCCTACATCAAACATGGTACCACATCGTGGACAAGTTACTAGTCAGGATTTTTCAGCCTCAAGGGACAGGTGCCCAATTAGACAATGCTTAGGTGGAGAAAGGAGAATTGTTTGCTGGTTTGTAACAAATTTCAAGAAGGGCAGGAGTCCAAACACCATCACCTTTGCTCTCTCCAATGCCACGACTGTCCATGTCATCATCCTCATCATTTCTCAAGCTGCTTTTCTTAAAAGACAGGACCCATAACCATGGCCCAGATCCCATCTCTGCAGATCAGCCCCAGCAATCACGGCTTTGTTGTCTCCCTCCAGTTTAGAAAGGCCCGGAGAAGGAGTGTGATTAAAGCCCAGCTCTGGGGTTCGCTTCTGGTTTCGAACATTCTCCTGGCTGTTTACGTTTACAGTTTATATTACTCATAACTCAGAGAGTTCTCAGTACTCTAATCTGTTTTATTGCCGTTCTTAATGCAAGTGTGTTGATGTAAGCGCTCTGCCAGATCTTTCTGTTCTTTGTAATCTCCCGTTCTGTATAAACGCTCTGCCCTTCATACTCATCGTGTGCTCTGGACAATGGCTCTTCATCATGTCGGGTTTTCAGTAACAATTTAGTTCATTTCTCTCTGTTGGCTGTTTTCCTTTATTGTAAGAGAGGGAATACAAGGCGTTGCTTACTGAACACCTACTGACATGTTCCAATTAGAAGGAGGCTCTTCTTGGTACAAAGCATATCTCCCTAAACCAAAAATACTTACTTATTTTTAGAGAAGGGGTCTCTCTCTGTCACCCAGGCTGGATGAGGTTGTTAATTCCAGAGCCAGGCTGGGGTGCAGTTGCACGATTATATCTCACAGGAGCCTCAAACTACTGGGCTCAAGCAACCCTCTGTCCTTAGCCCCTTGAGTAGCTGGAATTGCAGGCACATGGCCCCATGCCCAGTTAATTTTCTGTTTTTTTGTTTTTTTTTTTTTAGAGATGGGGTCTCACTATGTTGCCCAGGCTGGTCTCAAACACCTGGCCTCAAGTGATTCTCCTTACTTGAGGAAGGCCTCAGCCTTCTGAGTAGCTGAGATTACAGACACAAGCCACTGAGCCTGGAAAACCAAAAATATTTAGATAAACCCTATGTCAGTTTCCTTCTACCAATTTCTACCCACATTTCAGGGTCCTCACGTGCTCCCAGCCGGGCATGATATGAAATTGACTTTGTTACTGAAAATCATGTTAACGGGGCCATCCTCTTATTTTGCACACATCTTTATTTGTCCTTTTTGCTTCTCACTTATCTCTGGTGCTTGGAACCAATCCATCATTTTTTATGGCTTCTGGGCTTTGTATCATACTTTGAAAGGCCTTTGTGCCTCTGAGGTTATAAAAGAATTCTCTCTTGCTTCTATCACTTTTATGAGTTCCCTTTTTAGACTCCTTTTTAGATTAAGTCTGACCCATCCAGGATTAATTTTAGTGTAATATAAAAGGTATAGCTCTAATTCCACATTTTTCCAAGTGGCCTCTCAATTCTCCAAATCCCCGGATTTCAATGATCCTTATTTTTCCCCTATTGATTTAAAACTCCACCTCTATTATGTAGTAAAATTCCATGTGCATTGGGTCTGATTCCTTAACTTTCTTTTGCAAATACCTTCCATCGATCTGTCTAATCTGTTTAAATCATTATAATTTTGTAACATATTCTAATATTTGGTAGCATTGTTCTGTCCTTCATTATTCTCCCTAGAGGTTTCCTAGTTATTCTTTTTTTAAATAACAAATAATAATTGTACATATTCATGAGGTACAATGTGATGCTTTGATGTACGTATACACTGAAACGATTAAATCAAGCTAATCAACATATCCATCACTTCACATATTTCTCATTTTTGTGGTGATAACATTTGAAGCTTACTCTCTTAGCAGTTTTTAAATATACAAGACGTTAATTGTAGTCACCACGAAGCTATTCCTGAATGTTTATTTTTTCCATGGAAACTTTAAAAGCAATGAATCTAGCTCCTCCAAATCAAGTTTCTATTGATTTTTTTGTTAGTCACCCTAAATTTTTAAATTAACTTGGGGAGATTTTGATGGTATTGAGTTTTCCCATCCAAGAACAGGGTCTGCCTTTCCCTTTGTCCAAGTCTCTGACTTCTCAGAAGCATTTTTGAAGTCTTAGGCAAATCGCTTTTCACATTAAATGTAAGCCTATATCTTCCATCTTTTTTACCGGTATGGTAAATGGGGCCTCTTCTTCCACTGTATCTTCTAACTAGTTGCTATTTGAAAGCTATTTTGTTCCATATGTTAATTTTGTACTTGCCACTTTACTGATTACCTTGCTATGTGTAATATTTTTTCATTTTATTTTCTTGGATTTTCTGGGTACACAATTGTAACACCATCTCAGATGTTGATGATTTTCCTCCTCTTTTCTAATTTTTAAACTCCTAAAATCATTCTTTTTTGGTTAATTGCATCGACCTTTAGAATATTAAACAGTACAGTGGTAGTGGATGGCTTTTCTCATCCCAAACTTATATGAAGATGCTTCTAATGTTTTCCCATTAAACGCGATGCTCATGTCTGGGTGGAGATGGATGTATTTTATACCACTAAGGATGTGTCCAGCTCCACATTGGGTAGCAGGTTGGTTCTTGGTTTAAAAGACATACTTTCTATCTGGTTAAGGAAGAATCCATCACACCTATTTGTTTTTCTTGTTTTTTCAGACAGGTTCTTGCTCTGTTGCACAGGCTGGAGTGCAGTGGTGCATGGCCTCATGTGATCCTCCCCCTTCAGTCTCCTGAATAGCTGGGACTACAGGAACACGCCACCTTGCCTGGCTAATGTTTCTAAATTTTTGTAAATATGGGGTCTTGCTGTGTTGTGCAGGCTCATCACACCTGTTTTACGAGAACTTTAGGTTTGGGACTAGATAACATTTAGTTAATTAGAGCTTCAGTACCCATCTACCAACCATAAGATATTCATAATCTCTTTGAGCTTCAGGTAAAATGTGATAATACGTCCCTTCTAGAACACTGTAAAGTTTAATTGAGAAGGAATGAATGGAAGGCACCAACACAGTACTTGACACACAGCAAATGTGCAGTAAGTGATAATTCCTTCCATTCTCATTAACAGTATAGGGTTTGTTTTGTTTTGTTTTGTTTGTTTGTTTTTGTTTTAGTTTTCTTGAGATGGAGTTTTGCTCTTGTCTCCCAGGCTGGAGTGCAATGGCACGATCTCGGCTCACTGCAACCTCCACCTCCCGGGTACAAGCGATTCTCCCACCTCAGCCTCTCGAGTAGCTGGGACTACAGGCACATGCCACCATGCCCAGCTAATTTTTGTCTTTTTAGTAGAGATGGGGTTTCACCATGTTGGCCAGACTGGTCTCAAACTCCTGGCCTCAAGTAATCCGCCCACCTCGGCCTCCCAAAGTGCTCGAATTACAGGCATGAGCCACTGCACCCGGCCTACAGGGCAGTTCTTTTTGGTTTTCATTCTTTTCGCTTTTTTAAATGAAAGCAAGTTTATTGGGAAGTAAAGGAATAAAAGAATGACTACTCCATCAGCAGAGCAGCCCTTTCTGGGTTTTCTTAATGTGACCATGATGATAATTTTCCTTGCATCCAAACTATAAACTCTATTTGGTTAAAATATATAAATATCACTAATCCACATAAAATATTAATCTGATTAATAAAATACAATTTTATATTTTTGCCAATTGTGAGATTCTCAGATTGGTCCCGTACCTTTTACTTTTGGCCTTGGCCGATTTTTTAACTTAAAACATGTTTGTGTCATGATTTTTTTTTTCCGTGTTTTGGAACATTTACTGTGCTACTGTCTGGGAGTGGGTGGGTAATTCTCACCCACGGTGGGATCTTGAATTCCTGACCACTTTGGAATGTGTTGACCCTGCACTGCTTTTACTCAACACTAGGGGGCAGCATTGTAAAAGAAACCTGGCGATGCTTCTCAGTAGCACCATGAAATGTTAACCGGATTAGAGCCTGAGTTAAAACGCTCTTGAAGGAGTTTAGTCTTTGCCATTTCAGTCTATTTCAGAGGCCTCTTCATAAAACTGTGGGTGTATCGCCGGGTGAGGTGGCTCGCGCCTGTAATCCCAGCACTGTGGGAGGCAGAGGCGGGCGGATTACTTGAGGTCAGGAGTTAAGAGGCGCCTGGCCAACACGGAGAAACCCCATCTCTACTAAAATACTAAAAATACAAAAATTAGCCGGATATGGTGCGAGCTTGTAATCCCAGCCACTCGGGAGGCTGAGGCACAAGAATCGCTTGAATCTGGGAGGTGGAGGTTGCAGCCTGTGGGACTGAGAGGGAAAAAAAAAAAAAACTGTGAGTGTGCAAAAAGCACTCAGTAAATGGTGTGGACTAGCACAGCCACCTCTCTCACCTCCTTCACGTTTTGATTCAAATGTCCCTGACCAACCTGTATGAAACTGCAGCCTGCCCACTGGCCTCACCTCCCCATCCTTCTTACCATTCTCTACTTCTTTCCATAGCATTTAACAAGTTCTAACATTTTAATTTCCTTATTTATTATGGCTTATTGTGTCTCCCCACTTTCCCCCTAAAATCTAAGCTCTACAGGGGCATCGTCTATTTTGTTCAGTGGAGTACCCCAAGTGCTTAGAACAGTGTCTGGCACAAAGTAGATGCCCAAATAGTTCTTTGTTAATGATGTGGAATTTGTCATGACAGTGGTGAGGGTGGTGGCAATGTCTGAGGTAGGGGCAGTGGAGGTGGGGAGGCTGGTGACAGGGTGGAGATAGGGGTGATGTGGCAATTGTCATGATGCTTACTGTACTGTGGTTTGGTCAGGGTCCTCCGGCAAGTTGGAATCTAAGCCTGAGGCTGGATGAGGATTTCTAGAGATTTCACAAGGGCTTATCACCATGTGAGCACACACAATGGGTTCCTAGGCGAAAGTGGGGGAAACTGTTCACACTCATACATGCATGCATACACACACACATGCATGTGCACACACACATGCACACACACACGTACACACACACACACAAGTCTGTATTCCTGGCCCTCCAACAAAGGTGCTGTACAAGGGAGTGATGGAGGAGCTAGGAAGGTTGACCAAACTATCACTTACCGAGCTCATCATGCAGGTTTGTTCTTCTAAGAAAGGATTCCCTATCACCATATTGCAGGCTCTAAGGTGAAGAAACACATTCAAAATCATGCCTGGAACCATCACAGTCTAGCCTGGTGAGGAGGTTGCAGGCAGGGCCCCTCCTGACATGGACAGGGCACAGGGCGAGATGATCAGTGAGCAGTTACCACATATCTAGATAATTACAATGATAAACACACCTAACAGACTATTAAATAAAACATGTCTATCCTCCTCCATTAACAAATACACCCTCATGAAGCCCTGCAAGGCTGCTGGACTCTCAGAATTCCACACCAGGACACGGCAGCCCGGGGAGAAGCCCCCAGCTGCCCACTTCCCTCATCCAACCTCTGAGGGGCACCGCACAAAAGATACCCCAATTTGCACATCCCAGCTCTATCCACACCCTCCACAAGAACGCTGACCCTTGGGCCCCCTCGGGCCGAGGGCTGTGCACAAGGATAGTGCTGGCCCCTTGGGAGGACAGGCCCTGGGAGGCAGCCATGGCAGGTCCTGGAAAGCATGCTTAAGGCTTTGGGGCTGGGAATTCTAGCATCCCAGGCACCCAGAGCAGGGGCAGAAGGAAGAGGGCAAGCTCTGGCCAGATGTGCTCTGGGCTGATGGGCCCCTCGCACCCTGGGGGAAACGCCAGTTAGGAACCTCAAAGTCCGACACCTGGGGCAGGTGCAGGTCTCCTGACTGCAAGAACTACCGGGACTACTGTTGTTCTGCAGGGCTTACAAAGCGCATCCCTGTTCAAAGAAAGTTTGAAGAATGAAGTCAGTGGTGGGGTCCCCTATAGCTGGGGAAATAGAGAAGAAGAAAGGACCTTGGCAGGAAGTAGCCCAGCCATCCCTAGCAGCTGAGAAATTCCCTCCACCAGTTGGCACCCTCCTCCCCCAACACTTCTCAGGCCACAACAGAGGGAAGAAAGGCTGGTCTCAAAGCACACCTCCCTGGGCCTGTGTGGAAGGCTGGCAGCCTCTGGCCCTGGCCCATTTCCTCCTCCCATTAACATAAGGGGCTCTTGGCTTCCGCTGGAGGTCTTCTTACTTGCCTTGGTTGCTCTCCCTCAGCAACCTCTCCGCACTCAAGGCTGTGACTCTTACCCACCCCACATCTGGATTCCTCTTCCAAGCCATGTCTACTAGATCCTCCGAGGCCTGCCTCTCACTCCCCGTGCAGACAACCTCGCTCCCTTCCCTCAGCAGCAGCTCCTGCACCTGCCCTGGCCCTGCTAGGGAGCCTCAAAACCTTTATAGATGGAGGTAGTGGTTGCATAACCTTGTGGATGTACTAAGCACCATGGGATTGTACACCTTAAAATGGTTAGTTTTATGTTATGTGAATTTCACCTCAATCAAAAAATGAAATTAGGCTGGGTGTGGTGGCTCATGCCTGTAATCCCAGCACTTCGGGAGGCTGAGGTGGGTGGGTCACTGAGGTCAGGAGTTCGAGACCAGCCTGACCAATATGGTGAAACCTTGTCTCTACTAAAAATACAAAAATTAGCCAGGCATGGTGGTGTGTACTTGTAGTCCCAGCTACTCGGGAGGCTGAGACAGGAGAATTGCTTGAACCGGGGAGATGGAGGTTGCAGTGAGCTGAGATCATGCCACTGTACTCCAGCCTGGGCAACAGAGCAAGACTTGGTCTAAGAAAGAAAAAACAGAAAGAAAGAAAAAACAGAAAGAAAGAGAAAGGAAGGAAGAAAGGAAGGAAGGAAGGAAGGAAGGAAGGAGAAGAAAGAAAGAAAAAGAAAGAAAGAAAGGAAGGAAGGAAGGAAAGAAAAAGAAAGAAAGAAAGAGAAAGAAAGAAAGAAAGAAAGAAAGAAAGAAAGAAAGAAAGAAAGAAAGAAAGAAAGAAAGAAAGGAAGAAAGAAAGAAAGAAAGAAAATAAAAATGTAAAACATCTTCTGAGGCCTCCCTTGGCCACACTGAGCCAATGATGTCTCAGGAATCCCTGCACCCACTGCTCCTCCAGCCAGTCCTTCTCATTTGTGTTAGGCCCTCCCTGAGGATGTGGATGTTTTGACCCTGTCACTGGGCTTGGGGGACAGGGGCCATGGCTGGGAATGGACCCTGCTTATGGATACCCAAAGACAGCAAGCTCTTCTGACAGCAGGCATTCATGCCAGAGAAGGTGGGTCCTTTGCAAAACGCACCCTGAGATTTCCCCCAGAAATCTCCCCAGCACTAAGGGTCCTAGCTGGACACTCATCCCTCCTTCAGGGACCACAGATCTGCCTCTAAACCTTCATGCGTGGACTCTGCACCGCTCACTCTAAAAGAATAGGGCTTGTGTAGTCTGGAGCCTTCTATCTTATCCTGGGTAACCTCCCTCTGACTTTCTCAACATCCTCAGCCCCTGAAGATACAGCAGCTAGGACAGAGTCAGTCTCGAGGCCTGGAGGCGAGAACCCAATGTCTTTGTTATCGGGCCCTCTCGTTCTTCCAGGTAAACATCCCTGAGCGAGGGAGGTCTGAGGACAGGGCGCTCCTTGGGCACCCCTTTAAAAAGCAACATACATTATGATTACTTCACCCTGCAAGGCCAAATTCCCCAGGGCCACCACCAGTGTTCATTGTTGCCCTGTTGCTCTTTCTGTCCACACCAGTGGTACGAGGAGACCCTATCTCAACTCTCACTCCCTGAGATAAATGTGAAATGGACAACTTATCTGTGTCTCCCTCCCTCGCTTGCTGCCCCTTCTGGGAACAGGACCCCACTGAGGACAATCGATTCACTTGGCTGGTTGGCAAATTGCAAGAACCCCTCTGCCTATGCCACTGATGCACAATGTCTAGGGCTGGCACAATGCAAACTCCTCCAAGAGCCAGTTCTGTCCCTCCAGGCACACAGATACTATCCATCACAGAGCTGGCGGCCTCAAGAATGGCCATGGGGAGCCACTGAATGTTTTGAGCAGGGGTGTGACATGAGCCAGTTGGGAGTAGTGGTTATGTGCAGGCATTTTGGTGTTGGGCTGCCTGGATTCAGATACCAGAACTGCCACCTATTAGCTGTGGAATCTAGGACAAGTGACCATGCCTCTCTGAGCCTCAGTTTCCCACCTGCAAAATGGGGATAACAACAGTACCTACCTCCTAGGGTTGTTGTGAGGACTGAGTGGGTAAGGCCCTTGCAATAGGG